>NC_000006.12:161888971-162040486 GCF_000001405.40 Homo sapiens | reverse complement strand
TGGCAGTGAGCCAAGACCGTGCCATTGCACTCCAGCCTGGACAACAAGAAAGAAACTCCATTTCAAAAAAAAAAAAAAAAGTGGTTCTAATTTCCCTCCCCACAGACCTAGGTCAGACTTAGTGACTTGTTTCTAAGAACAGAAAACAGTAGAACTTATGCTGTTACTTCTGAAGCTAAATCATAAAAGGCAAAGTAGCATCTAACTTCCTCTTTTGTTGACCTGTACACTAGCAGCCCCCAAACAACATTGTAAATGCCCAGGTTTCCTACCGCTTCTGTGCTGGAGAGACCAGAGGGAAAGGCACATGGAAATGGAGAGAGATGGCTAAGGAACCCAGGTGTACCAGCTCCCAGCAGTTTGAGTCTTTGCATCGACAACCATCGTGTTTGAGAACAAGTGAGCTTTCAGACAATTCCACCTCCCAGCTTTTAAACCTCCTCAGCTGTTGTCAAGCAGAGCAGAGGCAAGCAGTGCCCACCAAATGCTGCTTTAATTTAATCCTGTTTAAATTTACCAGTAAAATTAATTTTTAAGAACTAAAAAATATTTAATCCACTAACATTTGGGGTGGTTTGTTGAATAGCAGTAGATGACGGGCATACCTTCCACAGTGTTCTCTGTGATCATGCTGTTATACAGAAGACTATACACACTTTGATATATACATCTGTCTGTCTGTCTGTTTGTGTGCATATGTGTGTGTACGTCATAGTTTTATTGAAAGGGGGCTCAAATTAGCAACAGACAATGATAATTGTTTAGTCTGTGTTGCTATAAAGGAATACCTAAGGTTGAGTACTTACTTTATAAGGAAAAGAGGCTTATCTAGTTCACAGTCCTGCAGGCAGTACAAGAAGCATGGCGCTGGCATCTGCTTCTGGGGGAGGGCCTGAGGCCGCTGCCACTCATGGTGGAAGGTGAAGAGGAGTCTTCTGGGCAGAGGTCCCATGGGGAAAGGGGAAACAAGAGAGAGAGAAGGAGGTGCCAGGCTCCTTTCAACAACCAGTTCTCAGGAGAACCAACAATGAGAAGTCATTCACTCCCTTGAGAATGGCACTAAGCCATTCATGAGGGAGCTGCCCTCAGGATCCAAACACGTCCCACCAGACCCCACCTCCAACAATGGGGATCTAATTCAACAGAAGACTTGGTGGGGCCGAATGAACCATATCCAAACCATAGCAATGATCAAAGCATCCGAAGTAGAGTTATGTGATCTTGAAAGAGAGTTCATTCAGGCAGGGCTAGAATTATTTCTATATTTAAAGTATATCTTTGCATTGAATGGTGTCAGACAAACAGTAGCAAGCACTTTTTTTTTTTTTTGTGAGATGGAGTCTCGCTCTGTCGCCCAGGCTGGAGTGCAGTGGCGCGATCTCTGCTCACTGCAAGCTGCGCCTCCTGGGTTCACGCCATTCTCCTGCCTCAGCCTCCAGAGTCGCTGGGACTACAGGCGTCCGCCACCACGCCTGGCTCATTTTTTGTATTTTTTTAGTAGAGACGGGGTTTCACACTGTTAGCCAGGATGGTCTCGATCTCCTGACCTCATGATCCACCCGCCTCAGCCTCCCAAAGTGTTGGGATTACAGGCGTGAACCACCGCGCCCGGCCAGCAAGGACTTTCAAGTCAACTCCACCTCTTGCTGGTTACTAATTGCACAACTTGGTCATGCCCAAGGCATTGAAATGAAGTTATATATCTATCAAATGTGATCCTATCATGTCTACCTGAGGTTATACCCTGGTCTCTTAGGTTTCTAAGTACATATTTTTCAAGTCAACATCAGTGACATATTTACAAATGATTTTATCTGATGGTTTATTTTTCTGTAGTTTTCCTCTAAAAGAGACGAAGCTTAGTATGTAGCCTAGTAGACAATAGCTCAGACAGTAGAGAAACTTGATTTGAACTTTTGTTATGATACTTACAGGCTGGTGGCCCCAGATGAAACCTTTGCAACCCTAGGAGCTTCCATATTTTGATACAGATGTATAGGTGACTATTATACACAGCTGTTTTAAGCATTATCTGATAAAGGGTATAAAGTGCTTACTTCAGAGCCTGTCATTGTAAGGGATCAATAAATTGTAGTTATTATGACCATAGTTGTTATAATGTGTTGACTTTTACTAGGTTTGATTTCAGAAGGTGGCATTCTCCAGCCTTTTCCACAAAGACTACAATCAATTTGCCATAATTCCTACACAGTCAATTGCCGTTTCTACAAATAACATGTATTCAAATTAAGTGGCTCTGACAATAACTTTGTACCAAACTGTAACATTTGTAATTTTCTTAAATAAAAATGTACTTAATTTGCATTTTATATAACAGATTATTATGACATAGATAATAATCTATACCAGTTGATCTGGAGGAAAAAATAACATGGTCATAATGGCTTAGGAAAAGTTTTATTATTGGTTTCTATTTTTTTTTTCAGAACTGTGTGCCAGTATGATTATTACCAGAATACCACACATTTTTAAATGTCATACTAGATGTGTAATTTAAAACTATTATACCTCATTTTCATTGAATTATTTTCATAATAAATGTTGCATTTTCTGATTATAAAAACATAATGTTGGCTGAAAAAAAAATTAGCCAACGTACTTTCACCTAAAGAGGAGGGTAAGGCCGGATGTAGTGGCTCATGCCTGTAATCCCAGCACTTTGGGAGGCTGAGGCGGGTGGATCACGAGGTCAAGAGATTGAGACCATCCTGGCCAACATGGTGAAACCCTGTCTCTACTAAAAATACAAAAGCTAGCTGGGTGTGGTGGCGTGTGCCTGTAGTCCCAGCTACTCAGGAGGCTGAGGCAGGAGAATTGCTTGAACCCAGGAGGCAGGGGTTGCAGTGAGCCGAGATCACGCCACTGCACTCCAGCCTGGTGACAGAGCAAGACTCCGTCTCAAAACCAAAAAAAAAAAAAAAGCAGAGGGTAAAACCTCTTGAATCAAACCGCCTGGAGATAATCACTATTAACACTGGGTGCATATTCTTCCAAGTCTGTTTTCCATGTGCGTGTGTGTGTGTGTACACATGAAAACACACGGACACATACACATACACCTGTTTTTGTGTCTCACGTATTATTTTATAACTTGCATCTTTTACTTCATATAATGTGCTCATTATCCATATCAAGAGATACAGGTCTCTATGAGCACATTTGGTGATGCATCCCATTTATTTTGTTGAAGAGTCTTGCATTGATAAGTTTATAGGCTGCTCTACATTTCATTATAAAAACAGCACATTAGTGATCTTCCTTAGACACATCTCTAGTAATTTGTCTAGTCACATTTTTGAAATATAATTTTGGGAGTAGAGTTGCAAAGGGCAAAATATTTTACATGTAATGTGTTAGAGTCCTTAGTTCCAAAAGGTACCCTGGAAAGTTTCCATCAATTTCCACTTTCCCCCAAACTACATGTCAGTATGGTTACTTTGCATCCTCTAACACTGGGTGCTTTTATTCTTTTTAATTTTTCCAATTATTTAGGTGAAACATGACATCTCATGTAAAATTGCCTTTCTCCAATTACTAGGAAGCTTGAATACATTTTCATTATTTATTGCTTACTATTATGGTTATTTTCTTTTATTATAATTGCACGGTATAGATAAAAGTTTCTTACAGTAAGTATAAGAAATTATTTCTTATAGTTTGTTTCTTATGACCATTTCATATATTCTTGTATGAAACCATTTCTTGTCATACATGTTGAAAATATGTTTACCAGTAAGTAATTTAATTTTCAGGTCTTTTTAAGGCGTTTCAAAATTATTTCAGATGGCCAGGCGTGGTGGCTCACGCCTGTAATCCCAGCACTTTGGGAGGCCCAGGCAGGGGGATCACTGGAGGTCAGAAGCTCCAGAGAAGTCAGGCCAACATGGTGAAACCCTGTCTCTACTAAAAATACAAAAAATTAGCCGAGCGTGGTGGCAGGTGCCTGTAATCCCAGCTACTCGGGAGGGTGAGGCAGGAGAATCGCTTGAACCTGGGAGGCAGAGGTTGCAGTGAGCCGAGATCCTGCCGTTGCACTCCACCCTGGGCAACAAGAGTGAAACTCTATCTCAAAACAAAATTATTTAAACTATAATTTTGATGTAATTATTGTTTTCTTTCTTTATTTTGTTTTGTTTTGTTTTGAGACGGGGTCTCGCTCTGTTGCCCAGGCTGGAGTGCAGTGGCGTGATCTCGGCTCACTGCAAGCTCCGCCTCCCGGGTTCACGCCATTCTCCTGCCGCAGCCTCCCGAGTAGCTGGGACTACAGGCGCCCGCCACCACGCCCGGCTAATTTTTTGTATATTTAGTAGAGACGGGGTTTCACTGTGTTAGCCAGGATCGTCTCTATCTCCTGACCTCGTGATCCGCCCGCCTCGGCCTCCCAAAGTGCTGGGATTACAGGCGTGAGCCACCGCGCCCGGCCGTATTGTTTTCTTTATGGCGTTATGTCTTTGTTATCATTATTAGGAGGATCTTCTCTACACTTGGAGATATTTAATGAAAATCTTTTCTAGTTACAGTTTCACTTTTTAAAACATTTAAATATTTGATTCATACAGATTTTATTTTAGTGTGAAGGGTTTCTATGAATCTAATGTTACTTATTTCTCACCAAAAATCTACAAATTACTTTTTATGCATCATTTATTGAATAAAACATGTTTCCCCATTGACTTGAAATAAATCTCATCTTTTTATTATATTAACCTTGAGGGTCTTATCTCTCGAGTCTGTTCTATTCCATTCCTCTGCTCATTCTGCCCTGAAAACTGTATTATTTTGATCCCTCTAACATTTAATACATTGTAACATATTTAATATCTGCTATAGTAAATTCTCCAAATTGCTGTCACATTTTCTTTTACTAGTCACACAGATTAATTTTTCTACATGATCTATAATTTTTTATGAAGTTTGAAAATAAATCAGATGGACTTATTTTTAACACCTAAGTTAAGCATATCATCCTGGAGAAATATGGACGAGAGAGA
Source organism: Homo sapiens (assembly GCF_000001405.40). NCBI lineage: Eukaryota > Metazoa > Chordata > Mammalia > Primates > Hominidae > Homo > Homo sapiens. Next base: position 162,035,474 of record NC_000006.12, on the reverse strand, counting down.
ATGTACTTTAAACACAGATCATATAATGGCAAGTTATATCTCATTTTTTAGTTTCTGAGAAAACCTAGCACCCCCAAAATTAATTCTTTAGTTGATACAGTTTGGATATTTGTCCCCTTTAAGTCTTTTGTTGAAATTTAATCCCCAGTGTTGGAGGTGGGGCCTGGTGGGAGATGTTCGAGTCATGGGGACAGACCCTTTGTGAATGGCTTGGTGCCTCCTCAAGGTAATGAGTGAATTCTCACTTGATGAGTTCTTGCAAGAACTGATTGTTAAAAAGAGCCTAGCCTCTCTCTATATATATATATATCTCTCTCTGGCCTGGGCCCCTTTCCTCTCTTTCTCTCTGTCTGTCTTTCTCTTCCTGCCATGTGGTCTCTATATGTAGACTCCCCTTCACCTTCCATCATGAGTGGAAGCTTCCTGAGGCTCTTAAGAGAAGCAGGTGCTGGTGACATGCTTCTTGTACAGCCTTCAGAACCGTGAGCGAACTAAACCTCTTTTCTTTTAAATTACCCAGCCTCGGATATGCCTTTATAGCAATGCAAAAGGACTAAGACATTAACATTTTGTTACCTCCATATGTAAGCTCTCGGCTGTTATTCCTCATGGACCAGCAATTTGAAGCTATGAAATCATAATTCCGTGATAAAAGGTTAACATTCCATATGGGCTATATTTTTCCTGACTGAAAAAGTTAGAGTCTTGGATAAAGTTAACTGAGAAGAATCTGTTCTCTGAATTACATGTATCCAGTAGGTTTCAATTGGAATGAAGTATGTTGAGTCATTAGGGTTTTTAAAATTATTATTTCTATTTGATTTATAAGGCTACTTGGAAAAGTGTGTTAACAAAATCAGTACCAAAGTGTTCTTCATCATAAGGAATTCTTCTAAGCCTAATATCTCCTGTTCACCTTTCAAGTTTTGTGTAATTTTTATAAGTGAAACTTTATGCAAAAACAGATAGGAAGGAAATGAATAAACTGCAGGAAATATGCTTGTTTCTACTTGTCTCTACCTATTGTGGATCAATTTATGAAGACAGCACAGTATAGCCTTAAAGGCATTGGAGCAAGAAACACCCAGTTTCTAGCTGTTTTACCAGCACTACTTTTTGAGTGACCTTGAAAACAGTTTCTGCACTTTTAACATAGGGAATAATAATAGCATCTTCCATAAGGGTTGTTTTCAGCAAGCTCTGAGGTGCTAAATATATAAAGTAACTAATATAGTACCTGACATGTAGTAGACACTCTCTCTCTCTCTCTCTCTCTCTCTCTCTCTCTATATATATATATATATATGTATGTGTACACACACACACACACACAATTGAATGACCCTGTGAGCGAGGCCAATTTTGTGTATAGCTTTTAAAAATGCATATTTGCTGCTCCCCTTTATTTTTCATAACTTTCAAACATTATGATACTGTATTCCCAAAGATCGTTTATACTACATTATCTGAATTGATTTAATTAGGACCAGTTACATCAAAGGGCAGCTTCCATGTTATAATATTTCATAGGGCTATGTCAGAATTCAAAGAGAGACCTTTCTTATACTTTGCATATTGATTCATGCATTCTACAAATATTTGTTTTCAAGGCATAATTCTAAATTCTGGAGATTAATAAATAAACAAGATAGAAAAGATGGAAGGAAAACACACAATGAACAGTTAAATGAGTGAACAGCATAATTTCATCTGTTGATAACTCACACAGTTTTCCAAATGTCTGAAAATTAGCTTTATGATAAAAAACGATTTCTAAGATGAAAGCTAATTAATTAAAAAATCATGCTTTAACTACAAGAGAACCTCTGGGAATGATTAGAACTCAGGAACCTGGCTTTCCATTCTACCTCTTTAAAGAGATATTGACCAAATTCCCCTACGAAATGATATTTTGGGGCTAGATGATCTTTAAAATTCCTTTAAACATTAAATATCATTGATCTATATTATTTTTAAAGAAAAAAAGAAGCATATTAGTTATAACTAAGGCACATATATATAAAGTATGCATTGTGAATTACAGAGCATAAATTATGATAGTTGACCAATGGTGTGCATTCCTTATAGTACATATGTAGCACATTTAAGGGTTTAACACATTTAGCAAATAAAAGTATAAAAGTAAAAAACTCCTCTTCCAGTTTCCTGTTCTTCTATGCCAACAAGTTTTTAAGACTGAAGGTATCAATGAATGTCTTCCATAAAAAGAGATGTTTCAGAAGGGTGAAAGCCAGTCATATTTCTGTAATGTAAACACATTGTCCTAGACCCTGATACACTCGAATATGATCCATGGTCAGCACTTGTAAAGAGCTGTGAAAAGTGATGGAGGCGAGATCATTCATAACATGTGAGACAGCTGAGAGAGGAGCCAGTGTCTGGAATAAAAGAGGCAGAAAGATTGGGCAAGAATTCTCTAAACCAAGAATAAAACAAGAGTGTCAGGTTAGGGGAAAGCCAGGATCTCAGAGAAATTGGGTCAAGCTTCTTGGATATTACAGTCCCAATCAGGAGTGTGGTAAGACATCTTGGAAAGCACTTCAAACATGCAGCTTTCTTTGTTTTGTCATATTTATCTCTCGTTGGATTGCATGTGGGAGCATTGGGTTCATTTCAATGGAAGAGTGATGAGGATACCACTGTAAGTGTGGTTTCTCATTCTGCCACACATCAGAGATGAGTCATTGTCTCATGGGGCTTTCTGTAACTTTCAAGATCTTCTAGCCATGCTTTCTCTGAAAAAGGAGCCAAGAGCAGTGACCGTTAGCTATACTGCAGAACCTTGGCATTTTACTTTAACCTCTCTCAGCTTCGCTTTTTTCATCGATATGAAGCGATAATCATGCAGTATTTTCAAGGAGAAGGAATGAGGTTATATACGTAAGATAACCAGCAGATAGTAGCTAGTAAACATGAAATTATTTTGTCCTCTCTAGAGGTGGTTGACAGACAAACTGGCCTAGGCTGCAAAGTGGCCCCCACTTTGCCTCAAGATTCAGACATGTTTTCTGTTGTCTCCTGATTTTAAAATGTTCTCTCCTTCACTCCCATCTCTGCCTTAGAATTCCTTTTCTACAGAACAAAATAGGTATGGTTTTTAGAGAAAAGTATATGACTAGGTAATCTTATGATCATATTTGCCTTGTTTTTGCTTGGTGGTTTTAAAATATTATTATTTTCATTGTTAAAAATAAAATTCTCCAAAGAGTGGTATGACAGCAGCAGAAATACATTTATGCAAGATGGCTGATGGATATTGTAAGGGGAGATGAATATGCTTCTTAAATATAAACATTTAAATTAACCCTTAAGAAACTCTGCGCTGCTTGTGCTGTCGGCTAAAGCTGTTTGAAAACCTTGCAGCATTAGTAGCAAGCTGTTATGAGCCAGATAATATTGATGACACAGTTATGTTTTATCCATGAGTACAAAGGCAACCAGAGGGTGTAAACAATTTTGAATTTGGAATTACAGCTGAAATAACTAGAACATTACTTCACATGTAGTTAGTAGAACAAGCTTTCAGCTAACTGGGTTCTGAATTATCTTGACATGGTATTTCTTTCTGTTGCCTGACTTCATATATCCTCAGGACATGCAACGATCCACAAAAAAGTGACTCTTAGTTGGGCACCATGGCTCACAACTCTAATCCCAGCACTTTGGGAGGTTGAGTGGGGTGGATCACCTGAGGTCAGGAGTTCGAGACCAGCCTAGCCAACATGGTGAGACCTTGTGTCTACTAAAAATACAAAATTAGTTGGGCATGGTGGCACGTGCCTGGAATCCCAGCTACTCAGGAGGCAAGAAGAATCGCTTGAACCTTGGAGGTGGAGGTTACAGTGAGCTGAGATTGCATGATTGTACAGCAGCCTGGACAACAAGAGTGAAATGCTATCTCAAAAAAAAAAAAAAGAAAAAGAAAAGAAAAAGAAAAGTGACTCTTTTGGCAGCCTTTTGAATATAATCTTACTTTTGCATCATAATATTTGTAAATAAGCTTTGACTATAAATGCTGCTCTTGCCTATGAGAGATAAAAAAAAGGATTAGATGTTGAGAGGGATGTGGAGGATGGGGCTCAACCAATAATGATCGAGTACCTTCCATACCCACAGCAGCAGATGGACACTCTGGGCAATTATTTCAAACATGCAGTCTAATTTGAATGATAACATATATTCTTGTCACCATTTGTTATCATTAAAAAAAAAAAATAGGTGCCCTTGGAAAGGTGTGTGCAGAAAGAAGCCAAAGGCTTTCTCACCATTCCTAGATCACTCTAGAATTGTCCTTCTCAGGCCTTGGAGGACATCCGAGCTGGACATCTCAGCTGCATTGTTTATTTTCCATTATCAAAATGTCAAGTTGGCCAACATCAAAGTGTTACTTATGTAATGTCAACTTCTTCCTCTCTCACCACTCAGTCTTATCTTAGAGGAGGAAATGCGCTATAGTTTCTTTTTAATTTCTTTGTTCTCTCATTCTTCCTTCCCCATTTACTCCTTTCGTGGCTCCTCCAGAATTAGGGTGGAGGGGCTGGAGTGAGCTGAGGAGAGGTAATGATCAGGAACAGTATTCATAGACTGCACTCTTGAAGAATCTGCTCTTGATAGAGATGTTTCGTTAATTCTCCAGGAGGGTGTCCATCACCTGTACATCCACAAATTCCAGTACCTAGAGCTCTCTCTCTGCGGTCCTCTTAAAGCACCTTGCTCCCTTGTCTTCAGGGTGTGAGCCCAGGGTCTCAGGTCTCTCATTTCATTCTCTGTAACTGCCTAGGAACAATGATTCTCAGACTCAGAGCCTCTGCCCAAATTCTGAGACAGCAGAAAAAGTTGCACTTAGAACAGGGAGTGTGCAGGGAAGGGTTTTGGCAAGTGCTGGAAAGGCCTTAAACCATGAAGGTTGGAGGAAGGCTTGTAACTGTACAAGGGTAAAAAGAAGGCTTGATTCCAGGAAAGGAAGGGGCTTCCTGCAAAGGTGCAAAGATGCAAATCACTGTGACATGTTACAGTGACATTAAGAAGACCAGCCAGATGAGAGCATGAGGCAGCCATGACTAATGACAGTTTCTGAGATCTTTCCAGTAACTGGGGCCGTTTTACATTCAGAGTACCTCTAATTCCCAGCAGTGATTTCATCAGTGGAGATGGGCAGATAACGGGGAGCTGCAGTAACATGGGAGGCAACATCATTTGTCAAGGAGTGGGAAGAAAGTGGCATTATTAGTTGTAGGGATGTATTAAAAGTTTCAGCCAGCTGTCTGGGAAATTTGGGGGGTTCTGAGAAAAACATGGAACAGAAAGGTGCAGCGGCTGGGCACGGTGGTTCTCGCCTGTAATCTCAGCACTTTCAGAGGCTGAGGTGAGAAGATTGCCTGAAGCCAGGTGTTTTAGCACAGCATAGGCAACATAGAGAGAGCCCATCTCTACGATTTTTTGTTTTAATTAGCTGGGTGTGATAGCGTGTACCTGTAGTAACAGCTACTCAGGAGGCTAAAGCAGAAGGTTGGCTTGAGCTCAGGAGTCTGAGATTACAGTGAGCTATGATAATACCACTGCACTCCCACCTGGGTGACAGAGCAAGATCCTGTCACAAAGCATGGGACTAGCATTTGCTATTTTCATAAATTACTGAGATGTCATAATTAATGTGTTTTTATATTATGGTGTATACTAGGAAGGAGTTGTTAACACCTTCCAATGATAACAACAACAAAAATAATGCCCAAGATAATCCAGGACAATTAAGCAAATACAAAGTTATGGCGTTTAGTGGGAACAAATTGGACAGGGTCAAGGTTGAGAATAAAGGATGAGGCAAAATCCCAGCAGAGAGGGAGCCAAACCTCATGAACAACTTTGCTCAGCAGAGCAAAGAGCGCTGGCATGGATGAACTAGAGTGCGGTGCACGGTGCCATCGAGGAAACTGGGATGAGCAAATAGGCCATTTCAGCAGCACAAGTACGCATTTCATTTCCCCACACATTACCTCCTGTGGGAAATACAAGGATGTGAAAGCCACATCCCTTAACTTCAGGAACTTGCCTTACTAATGATTGAGAGACATAAAATACAACCTTGAAGAAAGGTCCTTCATGGTAAATATTTGATGTTGCGTATCCCCAATTGATTTCTGCAAACTTTAACCCAATTTTTAATAAAAGTATCTGTAAGACAGAATTACCTGGAAAGTTTTCTTTTTTAAAAAATAGAAATGTCAGACCCAGTGACTGAATTTCTCTGTATCATGTGTGGGGGTGGAGGTGGGTGGGTTTGTTTCTGCAGAGCTCCTTGGGTGATTCTGAAGTGCAGGGAGAACTGGGAGCTACTAGTAAGGGCAGGGCAAATAACTGGCCTGCCACAGGAGTTCTGATTGTATTTGGGCACAAATACAGTCACTTTAATGGTTGATGCTAAACTTCCAATGACATATGTTTGTTCCACCTGAATTTCTGGTACATTCCATCCTATCATTCTAAACATCACCACAGTAATAATTTATGGGACTCTCCAAAGAGCTCAGGAAATGTGCGTTCACAGCACCCTCTTCTCTTTGGTTTCCACATGGCTTGTGCCATGTTTCATTCCTGAGCTCTCCTCCTGGGCGATGTCCACTGTTTGCTGTCACCCTGAAGCCAGTCAAACGCCACCCTCTTGGCTTTGCTACGGGTCCCCCATGTGAAAACACCAATATCCACTTCCAGGTTAGTAGCTCCCAATATTCCCAAGCCAATGCCTGTGGGTGCCCAGACATGCTGGGCTCTGTGTGGCTTTGGACAGCGTCCTTCCCTCCATTCACTGCTCCATTTTGTAGCCAGCTCCCTAAAGCAATAATGCTTGTGCCCGTAGCTCCTCAGAGTCTCTCAAAGGAAGCAGCTTCTTCCATCTCTTGCCTACTGCTTATTTCCTAAAGAAAGATTTCCGTGCCCGGAAGTTTCCACGCACACCTCCACAGGAGCACACAGCAGCCGGCCCAGGGCTCCGTCATCAATGGAGATAGAACCAGCAAAGATGCACCTGCAGCTTGTCTTCCCCTGCCTCGCCCCAAACCTCTCCGTTTCAGAGCACAGACTTTGCTTTCACTTTGTGTTAACTAAAATGTCCATTTAGATGGTTCACTGAAAACATTGACATACTTGTTCCAAAGGGGAATTTAAGCCTCCACATTATAGAAGATAGAAAACTGATGGCAATGTTTAAATGGCAGCTGTTCTAGCTTCTACCTATCAGGTTAAAAACACGCACACACTTTAAAACCATGTTTTAGATAAAATACGTCAATAAACAACCAAGTTTTTATAACACCTGGCTTTTCTAAAAGAGCACAGTTGAAGCTGTACAGAATTCTCCTGGAAAGCCTAATGACATGACAGTTCTCAGTGTTTCTGACCATCTTTCTTTCTGTTCTTTGGAATCTGGGTCAGAGGCAGTATTCGGAGTATATTTCTTATGTGATTTTTTTTTATCCTGGCAATATGGGAAATTATGGAAAAATCAAAACATCTAGTATGAATATAAACCACACTCCAAGTTAATGTAATTAATCTATTCCTCCTTCCCCACCTTCCTTCTTCCCTCCCTCTCTCCTTTTCTGCCCCTTCTTCCTCCTCTCCACTTTCTCCCTACTTTCCACAACCATGTATTAAGCACGGAGGCAACCTCAGCAACTGTGCTAAGATCTGTGAATATAGAAATAAGCATGCCCCTTCCCACCCCCCAGCAAGTATTTATTGTCTTATGAGAAAGGCAGATGTATTAAAACATTGCAGAGTATAATCACTTACAGTGTTATATGGCATATCTGGAAACACAAATTTGGGCGTGGTTAACTTCACCTGGCATAGTCAGGAAGGATTAACAGATGAAGTGACATGAGCTTGCTCTTGAAGAAATTGCTGATATTTCTTTAGTTTTGTAACAGGATAAAGGTATTGCTTACTTATTCTACTTTTGCCTGAGGACTGGTTTTTCTACACAAGAATATACAGAGGTTTGTCGCACTCGCAGGAACTGAAAATAAGTGGAAATCAGAGCAATTCTCTGACAGGATAGATGCCCAGAGGGACCACAAACATGGTTACTTTATGAGGATGGTGCAAAACATCAACTTAGGGTGTTCTGTGATTATAACATTGAAACATGTCAAGATTAATATCATGGTTAAACATACAGAGGAGGATATCCAAAAACATAGGAATCATAAGATGAATTCCTATGAAGTATGGAGACTAAAAATACAGTCAATTTCTTGATATAGAAAGAATAATGCTTAGAGTCTTGAAACACTAACGATTGACATGGGTTTTGGGGAGAGCAGAATTTGTAGAGAGGTCATAAGTGAGGGTTCTGAAGTTAGAAGCCCAGATTTGAATCCCAGCTCTAGACCGCAGCATACCACGTGACCACAGGCAAAATTGCTTATCTCTCTTTTTTAGTTTCATTATCTATTAACTAGGAATTCAAAGTGGTTTCTAGTTTATAGGTTTGTTATCATGATTAAATGAGAAAATGCCTGAAGTACAGTCCATTACACATACGGTAGACTCAATAAATATTAACTTCTCACCATCATTATTTTATGAAAAGCAAGCTATTAAGCAACATGACTCTGGCAACTTAATCCTGATTGCCAACAACATACCAATAATTTGCTCTTCATGTGATCTGAAATTTTCCAAGGTTTGTTGAATGTACACAGTTGGAGAACGTACAACAGCACAATTACGTTTCAAGCCATTACTATTTAACTTATTTTGATGAATGCCATTTGTGGGGGGAAAAAAAAGCAAAGCAGATAAGTACATATTAAGATGCCTTTAGGGAGCTCCACTTTCCCTACTAAAAGCATTTTTCTAAGTAATATAGCTTCAGAACATCTTGACTGAAATAGCTTTAGAATATTTACAGCAAAAGCATCTCTTTTAGGAAAGTTGAGGTGGCTGAAAGTGAATGTGTCTTAATGCATGAAGAGCTTACAGGTCCACAAGATTGCAGGACATACGTGTTCATGAAGCCAATGAAAACTCAGTAGGTTACAGGACCTACATTCTGGTTCTTTCCAGGAGAGTTGACGTAGAGCTGGAGTGGCTTCATCTGCCTCTATTTACAATGAGAGATTATGAGTACATAATTGCAGTGTTAGCAGAAGGCATCACACGTGTGCCTCCGCATTTTAGGGAAAGCCAACTTGCCTTCCATTTGTCATGTGTCTATGAATACGCGAATACATATAAGAGTTCTCTGTCTTCACGGAGTTGCGGAAGTGATAGTCCACAAAGTTACACAGATGTCAACATATTTCAAAGCAATTCACTGAAAGAACTAAGAAATGAAGAAGCTCAGATTTCTGGCTTCCAGGCTGTTGAACTATTCTGCATGTAGCTATGCTGACAAGTAATTTCATTTGACAGGACCTGCGAGCCCATGTCTGTTCTGCTAAGAAAGGATTGTTAACCTTTCCTTGACTGCAATAGTGGTTTGCAACTGCTTGTTTGGCCCTCATCTCCCTATCTACCAAGCCTTGATTGCTCCTGTATTTAAAAGCACATTAAACACACCATGGCCCGGGGGCAGTGCCTCATGTCTGTAATCTCAGCACTTTGGGAGGCTGAGGCGGGTGGATCACTTGAGGTCAGGAGTTCAACACCAGCCTGGCCAACATGGTGAAACCCCATCTCTACTAAAAATATGAAAAAAAATTAGCCAGGTGTGGACATGCCTGTGGTCCCAGCTACTCAGGAGGCTGAGGCAGAAGAATCGCTTGAACCTGGGAGGCGGAGGTTGCAGTGAGCTGAGATCGTGGCACTGTACTCCAGCCTGGGCAACAGAGTGACTCCGTCTCAAAAAAAAAAAAAAAAAAAAAAAAAGCACCATGGATATGGCCACTGGGAGATCACAGAATTCACTGACAAGGTTTCCTTAAAAAGTTGACACTGCAAGAAAGGGTAGTCAATAGAAGGAAGTCACTAAAAAGATGGAATGAATTGGACAGTATATAGGGAGAGACATGACACGGATTAGAAAAGGCTCACTTTCTGTACTGCACAGGAAGGAAGAAAACAAAAGTACCTTTGCAGATTTGATGGTCAAATGAGAGTATACTAATCTTCTGAAATTATTTATAAATAATACATAATTTAAAAATACAGACTGGGTGCGGTGGCTCACGCCTGTAATCCCAGCACTTTCGGAGGCCGAGGCGGTCGGATCACAAGGTCAGAAGATCGAGACCACGGTGAAACCCCGTCTCTACTAAAAATACAAAAAATTAGCCAGGCGTGGTGGCAGGTGCCTGTAGTCCCAGCTACTCGGGAGGCTGAGGCAGGAGAATGGCGTGGACCCAGGAGGTGGAGCTTGCAGTGAGCCGAGATTGCGCCACTGCACTCCAGGCTGGGCGACAGAGCGAGACTCCGTCTCAAAAAAAAAAAAAAAAAAATACAATCTGGACATGAACACAACATAGAAACGTATAGAAGTTATATACATATATAAAAATATGTAATAAATGTTTCATAATATAAAAAAAGACTTATTTGGTGCACGTGCTGACTATAAACAACAAAGGAATGAAACACTGGACTTATTTTTGAGATGCTTACAGTTTAGTCTAATTTATAAGACTGCTTTCTCTTTGTTTTTGCAAATACTTCAGGTCTTCGATGAACTCAAAATTCATTCTTAGGTGTAAAAGTTAGATCTTTGTTTGGGACTGCACCAAGGTCACTAGAGTTCAGAACTGAAGCATCTATGTGGTTTTAGAAGTTCCTGAGTCTAAAAATTGTTCACTATAGTGACAACAATTCGCTTTACAAGAGCCTTACACACAAAAAGTAATATTCCTGGGAATACATTTAATCAAGGAGATGAAAGATCTCTTTAAGGAGAACTACAAAACTCTGTTTTAATTTTTAACAAAAAAGTGGTAAATGTAAAAATTTAAAATAGAAATAAGTGGGCTGGGCGCTGTGGCTCACGCCTATAATCCCAGCACTTTGAGAGGCCGAGGCCGGTGGATCACCTGAAGTCAGGAGTTTGAGACCAGCCTGACCAACATAGCAAAACCCTGTCTCTACTAAAAATACAAAAATTAGCTGGGCATGTTGGCACATGCAATTACCCCCAGCTACCTGGGGGCTGAAGCAGGAGAATTGCTTGAACCTGGGAGGCAGAGGTTGCAGTGAACCAAGATTGTGCTATTGCACTCTAGCCTGGGCAACAGAGTGAAACTCTGTCAAAAAAAAAAAAAAAAAAAAAAAGGGTTGGGGGAGGGAGGGAGGAAGGGAGGGACTCGTACCTGACACAAACAAACTGGAAAACATCCTGTGTTCAGGGATGGAAGAATCAATATCATTAAAATGACCATACTGCCCAAAACAATCTACAGATTCAATGTCATTCCTATCAATATACCAATGCCATTTTTCACAGAACTAGAAAAAGCAATTCTAAAATTGATATGGAACCAAAAAAGAGTCCAAATAGCCAAAGAAATCCTAAGCAAAAAGAACAAAGCCAGAGGCATTACATTACATGATTTCAAACTATACTACAAGGTTATAGTAACCAAAACAGCATGATGCTAATACAGGAGTACTGGAAAGGGAAGAGTATGGTCCTTCTAAATGATAGGGAGGGAAGGGAAGTGCTGGGTAAAGGAGGGCGTGGTCCCTGGCTACGGCTCCACCCCCATGGACCTAGGTGAAGACAGGTAGTCCTGCTTTCGGGCCCAAATGTTGCATTTTCTAAGACCACCCTGGTCCGCCACACCCCCATCCTGGGTCTCTAAAAACCCGATACCCTAGCAGGCAGACACACAGACGGCCAGACATGGAGAGGAGCACATCGGCGGAAGAAGATGCAAGCCGCTAGTCGTGGAGAGGGCGAGGAGAGGAGCAGGCTAGGAGAAGAGCACACCGACAAACACCGGCAGGCGACCAGCAGAACCACGTGGAGTTTGGCTGGGGCGGTCGGAGGAGAGCCCTGGCCCCGAAGCAGCCCGACTCCAGGGAAAAACCGTCTTCCTTCTTGCTGCCCCATCAGCTGAGAGATACTTCCACTCAGTAAAACTTTGCACCCATTCGCCAAGCCAACGTGTGATCTGATTCTTCTGGTACACCAAGGCAAGAAACTGGGGATACAGAAAGCCCTCTGTCCTTGTAACAAGGTAGACGCTCTAATTGAGTTGATTAACACAAGGTGCCCGTAGGCAAACTAAGAGAACACCCTGTAACACACGCCCACTGGGGCTTTAGGAGCTGTAAACAGTCACCCCGAGACACTGCTGTGGGGTGGGAGCCCCACAGCCTGCCCGTCTGTATGTTCACCTAGAGGTTGGAGCAGCAGGGCTCTGAAGAAGCAAGCCACACCCCCACCGCATGCCCTGCTAGGGGGACAAGGGAACCTTTCCCATTTCAATACTGGTACAAAAATGGACACATATATCAATGGAGCAGAGTAGAGAACCCAGAAATAAAGCCTCATACCTACAAGCAACTGACCTTTGGTAAGTTGATAAAAATCAACAATGGGGAAAATACACCCTATTGAATAATTGGTGCTGGGAAACTGGCTAGGCATATGCAGATAAGTGAAACTGGAACGCTTCCTCTCACCGTATGCAAAAATTAACTCAAGATGGATTAAAGACTTATGTGTAAGGCACTGATTTATTAAAATCCTAGAAGAAAACCTAGGAAAAACTCATCTGGACACTGACCTAGGTAAGTAATTTATTACTAAATCCTCAAAAGCAAATGCAACAAAAACAAAAATTGACAAGCTAAAGAGCTTCTGCACAGCAAAAGAAACAATCAACAGAGTAAACTGACAACTTACAGAATGAGAGAAAATATTTGCAAAGTATGCATTGGATAAAAGACTAATATCTAGAATCTATAAGAAACTTAAATCAACAACAACAACAATAAAGACCGGTTAAAAGGGGACAAAGGACATGAACAGACACTTCTCAAAAGAAGACATATAGGCAGCCAACAAACATATTTAAAAATGTTCAACATCTAATCATCAGAGAAATGCAAATGAAAACCACATGAGATACCAGCTCATACCAGTCAGAATGGCTATTGTCAAAAAATAACATATATTGGCGCAGATGTAGAGAAAAGGGAGTGCTTATACACTGTTGGTGGGCGTGTAAATTAGCACAACCTCTATGGAAAACATTATGGAGATTTCTCAGAGAACTAAAAATAGAACTCCCATTCAACCCTGCAATCCCAGTGCTAGGTAACTACCCAAAGGAAAAGAAATCATTCTATCAAAAACTCATATGTTTATTGCAACATTATTCACAATAGCAAAGTAATGAAATCAACTTAAATGCCCATCAATGGTAGATTGGATAAAGAAAATGTGGTACATATACACCATAGAATACTATGCAGCCAAAAAAAAAGATCAAAATCCTGTCCTTTGCAGCGACGTGGATGCAGTTACAGGCCATAATCCTAGGGGAATTAATGCAGAAACAAAAAATCAAATAATTGCATGTTCTCACTTATAAGTGGGAACTAAACGATGGGTACACATGGACATAAAGACGGGTACAATAGACACTGGAGAATTCTAAAGTAGGGAGGGAAAGAAGGGGGCAAGGGTTGAAAAACTACCTATTGGGCACTATGTTCACTATTTGGGTGATGGATTCAATGGTAGCCCAAACCCCAACATCACACGATATACCCATGTACAAAACTGCACATGTACCACCTGGATTTAAAATTTAAAAAGAAGAAATGCAGGATCTCAACCCATCCCAGAAGTAGGGAATCAAAATCTGCATATTAGCAGGATCATCAGGTGATTTGTACGCACAGTAATATCCTAGAAACTTCGGATGAGTAATATGTTTCTTATCTGAGCATGTGGGGATATTTTAGTCACGGAGGAAGGGACTTCAAAATGTTCATGGAAACGAAATTAAAAGATTATTTTAAAAAAGAGCTTAAGGAAAAAAAAAAAAAAAATATATATATATATATATATATATTCCCTGTAATGCCGGGACATCAAAAAGTATGAGAGGAACAGATTCTAGTCTTCATAAAGCATAAAGGGATTGGATGACCTTGAATTTGTACTGACCAATTATTTGAAAGCCTTTGTTAAAAAGCATCAGATTTTTAGTCATTTAAGTGTGGTTTTATATGATAGTTTAATTATCTGTTTTCTTATCAATTAAGTACATTATATATATATTTGATGTATATAGATGTTATATATTATATATATTATATATATAATATATATACACATATATTTTATATATATATATATATATATATATATATATATATATATATATATATGTTTTTGTTTTTTTTTTGAGACAGAGTCTCGTTCTGTCACCCAGGCTGGAGTGCAGTGGTATGATCTCGACTCACTGCAACTTCCACCTCCCGGATTCAAGCAATTCTCCTGCCTCAGCCTCCTGAGTAGCTGGGATTACAGGTGCGCACCACCATGCCCGGCTAATTTTTGTATTTTTTGTAGAGATGAGGTTTCACCATGTTGGCCAGGCTGATCTCGAAGTCCTGACTTCACAGTCTGCCCGCCTTGGCTTCCCAAAGTGCTGGGATTACAGGCATGAGCCACCGCGCCGGGCCCATTACATATTTTAACAGAAAATTCAAAGAGAGCTATTCTTGTTTGTCATGGCATTCCTAAATTTTAAAATGTAGAAATATGGGGAGAATCTTTATTAGTCCTATATGTGAGAAAAAAATCAATTTCTGAATTCCACTACATATTAACTGTTAACTCCCCAATTTCAACATTTAAGATGTTTTTTGAAATGCTTTTCTCGAGTTAGTAGATGCTGATAAGCTTGAACTTTTTTGTTTACCTACATATATATCTGTCCCTTACCAACTGCTTTGAAATTGTGAAAGAACCAAGATATGTATGTTTAGCCTATCAGCTACATCCAACTTCATCAACCACTTTTTGATATTCAAATGAAAATATTTTCAGTATCATGTACAAAAGAATATCTAGAAAAACATTCATATCTTTAAATAGGATTTTGCTCTTTTCAGACATCATTTGTATGTTTCTTTGTTTTTATCTGTTTTTTTTTTTTTTTTTTTTTTTTTTGATTCATTGGTCACTTAGTCAGCATTCTGTCACTGACAATTCCAGTTCCATCCAAGCTCTCCCTATATTCTATCCATGTTTACTGCAAGTCAGAAGTGCACTGCAGTCACAGATTTGCAGGGCTGGAGCCTAATGAGCTCTCTAAGCCTGACCAAGCCACAAAAACACAGTTGTTCTCCGCAGGAAGAGTCTGCTGTCCCTCCATCCTCTCAACTTTGAGCACAGGTTACAAATGCACATGCACTTACAGGTGCTGCTGACATTAGACCAAGGCTGAGCAAAACCACTTTGTGATATTTTTTTTTTTTCCTTTGAGACGGAGTTTTGCTCTTGTCGCCCAGGCTGGAGTGCAATGTCACAATCTTGGCTCACTGAAATCTCTGCCTTCCAGTTTCAAGCAATTCTCCTGCCCCAGCCTCCTGAGTAGCTGGGATTACAGGCGCCCGCCACCACACCAGGCTAATTTTTGTATTTTTAGTAGAGACAGGGTTTCACCATGTTGGCCAGGCTGGTCTCGAGCTCCTGACCTCAGGTGATCCACCCACCTTGGCCTCCCAAAGTGCTGGGATTACAGGCGTGACCACCATACCCAGCCATGATTTTTAATACATAAAGTTATCTAGCATATGTGCAATCACAGATTAAAGGCTCGTTGTAGTCTGTTGTGCTAACAAAGCGTGGACCAAGGACTCCCCAAGTGTTCTTTGGCATGCCAGATCTTAAAAGCTCCAGAAGCACTCTTCAGCTGGGTCCTGTCACTGCTCAGCAGATTAATTACACATCAGCGCAATAAGCCATAAGCGTTCCAGGGGAAGTTATTGCAGTATATCATTTCAATGATCTGTAGATAGCAGGCTGCTGGGAGACTTGTTTTGAACGGTGCCTTTCAATCCATCTCTGAGCTTGAGGGTGCACCGAGGCATGCCAGAGTTGGAAACACTTCAGTGCCCCTCAAAGTATTCTTTCAGCTCCTTAGCCCATGTCTTACATGGTTCTGGAGATTCTAATGACACTCTAACAGCTATAGCACTTATTATTTACTTATTCAACACACAGGCATGCAGGGCCCAATGGAAAGGTGAATGAGGAAGATATTTAGGGAGAGACTTGGCACTTAATGCTTAAGTCATGAATAACCTTGTTGGTCTCTGTGTACCTCATGTTTTTCTCCATAAAAATGTAAATTTGATTATAGAATTTTAGCCCTAGTGTTTCATTCTGATAGTAGAAAGAAAATACCTTGGTAGCTCTTCCTGAAATGTTGTATGAGTCAGTAAACCATCTAAGTATGGTTGATCACCAAAGTTCTAGAAGGAAGCATGTGATGCTTTACATAAGAAGAATTTGTGATATTTTAATGTAGTGATATAATAGGCAAAGAATGATGTGATATTCAGCTAGTGCACCAAGGCTAAATTATGAGAAAATAATAATATAAAAACAGGTGACTTGCTAAGTGTAGTGCTCTAGATTTTATATTTAACTTAGAGTTTCAGATAACATAAAGTCATTACATAGTAATCTCATTATTGCAGAGCCCACTCATGTAGGATTTATTTAATGGTAGAGAGCTATACTCAAGATAGGTTTTGGCTCTTGGGAGGACAAAAAAGCATCCTAAGTATATAAATACAATTAGAGATTATTATAAAAAGCTGAGCACACTGAGAAATCACTTTGAAATGATCAGTTCGCACATTACAATTTTCTATACTAATTGTAAATCATTCCTGTTGCTGTTTTAAAGCAGGTCCTAAAACACATCTGTCAAGATTATGAGAGCTTAATTCGTATTACCATAAAAGACTGAAAATAATAAAAACATGCTTTTCTTGCAAAATATTTGATAATTTAGACTCCAAGTAATTCAAAAATGGCTCCTCTCATCATTAGTTTTTCTTATTTTAACCACATCTCCCAAGAATGGGATATGAGCACATGTGCATTTGTTTTAAACCAGCTATTGAGCCTCAAGACTTTGACTTTGTCTGTCTAAAAGTTATTATGGGCCGGGCGCGGTGGCTCACGCCTGTAATCCCAGCACTTTGGGAGGCCGAGGCAGGTGGATCACGAGGTCAGGAGATTGAGACCATCCTGGCTAACACGATGAAACCCCATCTCTACTAAAAACACAAAAAATTAGCCGGGCATGGCGATGGGCGCCTGTAGTCTCAGCTACTTGGGAGGCTGAGGGAGGAGAATGGCGTGAACCCAGGAGGTGGAGCTTGCAGTGAGCGGAGATCATGTCACTGCACTCCAGCCTGGGTGACAGAGCAAGACTCCGTCTCAAAAAAAATAAAAATAAAAATAAAAGTTATTATGGCCTGTGTTCTTCATCTCTGTTCCAGATCTTTCCCGCAGGGTCATGGTGCTCATTGCACATAGACAGCCAGCTACCTCAGCAAGACACATAGGAACAACAGAGGCTCTCTCGGGGTTTCTTTTTTCATGCTTGGTATTGGTTTATTTTAAGATGAATGCAGCTTGTCTTATAGAAATCAAAAAAGAAATAGAAACGCTAAGTGACAGAAAAGGTTAAGTATGAAATTTTGAAGCCTATATATAGTCCCTTGCTGTGACAGGCAACGTTTCAGAAGATGATGGATGTGATTTTCCCAAGGGGATCTTTTACTGTAATGGAGAAAATATCTGAATTAATTAGATACAAAAGCCCATACTGTTGAGCCTCTGATGAGAAAAACTATATTTGTCGTGAAGAATGATCGCATGAAATGTTAAACCATGGTTTTTCAAACATTCTTGAAATATTTAGTTATAGTTACAATGGTTAAAATTTTCAGTGTTACATTGAATGTGGTGATTTTCTATCATTTAGTCAGAATTAGATTTTTCTACAATATTTATGACATGAACATAATGGATATGATTTATGGGGCACTTAATATTGTCAGGCACCATGCCACATGCCTTCTATACACATATTGGATCCCATTTAACCCTCATAGTTTCTATGTGGTAAGGGTCATTTTCCTCATTGTAACATGTACATGCATGTAAACTAGGCCTAGATTAGCAAACATTTAATGCTACATAACTAGCGATTCCCAGACCTGAATTTCAAACCAGTTCTGATGGATTCCCAAGTACAGACTCTTAACCACCCTAGGGAGCTGACTCCATAAGATATATCTCCCTATGGAAGTTCTAAAAATAGCTATTTACAACATTTTCATGAAGCCACACAAAATAATGAAATGAGCTTCACAAAATGTAAAACACAAAAAATTAATCCACATGCTATGATCTTAGATATTTAAGACAAACTCTTTGTTAATAAGGGGCCATTTGAGCAGGCCCGGGAGAGAGGCGGATGTTTGAGTTGCACACACACAGTTGACTGAGTGGAAGTGTGTGAATTTCAGAGCCGCGTGTGTGAGGTTTCGGAAGGTGGAGTTGGCGTGTTGGGTAGGCATCCATCCTGCCCATCCCCTCTTGTTACTGCATGATCCTGAAAGCATCAGATGCAGAAGGGACTACTGTGAGATGAGCAGTGAGGGCTGCTTTATCGCCAGGATCCTGTGCCTAAAGCTCCATGACATCTCCCTGGTAAAGGCGAGGTAGGACTCCATGGCATGCTTGGGCTTGAGACCGAAGACAACCTTCAGGCTCTCACCATATATAAATTGTGATCTCAGGGTTGTTACTATTGAGTGACCAGTGGGGATGGGTCAGCCACGAGGAGAGTGTTCCAGGGTAACTTGCATGGATCTAATACCCTACTTCTAGTTGGCCCTGCTAGCAATAGACATGGCCCAACTAAGGAATCAAATGTTGTCCATCATAAGAACCTTCTCCCTCCTCGTGATGGGAGATGAAAGTTGGCAAGGGACAGTCAGAGGACCTCAGGAGTCCTGTGCACTTTCCACCTATCAAGACAAGAAGAAAGACAGGAGGAGCATTTTATCCCCTTTCAAAGAGGATATTTTGTCCAAGGGGCAGTCTGCAGGGGTTCCAAGGCAAGTTACATTTTGTGTATGGAAAGTGAGTGATGGAAAAAATGCTCAGTAATTTTCTAATCGGCCTGTATTTTCAAGAGTCTATTATTAATTTGAATTAAATTCATGTATGTGATTCATATGTATAATTAATGTGGCTTACAGAAAATAAATTGGAACAACAACAGATGTGTCGCCTTTGCTATGGATTCAGTTTTTTTTTATTATTATTTTAAACAAGAATTAGTCCCACCTTTTATTTCTTTGGCAGAAAATTGCCCTATAACATAAAACTGACTTTCATAAAATATCAGCAAATTTGAAATGCCAGATGGAGACCTTCATCTTGGCAGTTTTGAACTGTTCTTTTCCATTTTAGAGTCTCAGAATGAATACTTATCTTGTCAGTTTATGCTCTATTGTACAAAGGTTCTGTTTCGTGTAAATGAACTTCAGTCAATTTACAACAAATTGATTTCCATCTCTAAGAATATCCTACCCTGCGAGTAGATACTTTCCATGAATATGTCATTTACATTTGATTTCTGACCTCAGCCTTATATATTGATTGTAACATATAAGCATTCATACTTTCAGTCTTGAAATTTGAAAGTTCTCGGCTTACCATTTTCTCACTGAAGGACTTTCCTGTATTATGTTCTTTATATCTGAATAACTCTTTCATTCTTCTAGCTGGAATGCTATAGAGTACATTGTAATTTGCTTCAATTTCAGAGAGTAGAAGGGTGAGCAGTGGAAGGTGACAGGGGAGAAAGGAAGGGAGGAGGGATGCATTGAAAACAGGATTCAGCAGCAAGAGCGTAGCTGACAATCTCCAGCTTACAAATGCCATTCCTGTTGAAAATTAGGCTGTGGCTGAAACTGGACCTTGAACGGGAGAATATTACAGCCCTGAATTGAGTTGGTTCTGCGCTTCTGCCTGAAAGCTGGGATTGCCATACTACTTTTCCCTTTGCAGTTACCTTTGATACATAGCTCTTTTTTTCTCTAGTTTCTGATCATCATCCTTAGCCCATATACTTGTTACTGCAATTGAGGGAAAAGAAACCAATCATATAATCTCAAAGAAGCCTTTTTTCTCCCAGAAGAATGAAGCTCAGCGGTGTACTTGTGTGAGTTCCTTTTCTCCACTGCCACAGTTTAGCGATTTGTTAGCCTAACATTTCAGAACTCACAGTCAAAGAAACCTTCCCCACCACTTCACTAGAGGAAACACTTGACAATAAATTTGAACGGTTGGCTTCCAATTTTCAAAAGGATCAATCGCAAAAGTTGCTGTTCTTAAAATCATGCTGCAAGTTTACTCAAGATAATATGTTTTAAATTTCATGTTTTCTACAACGTGAACATGTTGTCTTTCAACAATATGATATTATACAAAAAGTAATTGTTATTGAAAAATACCAGAAACAACCTAGGGGTTGCCTAAACCGGGAGAGTACAACCATTCAATAGAGTACTATGCAGCTGGGAAAAAGGCATGAGAAAGACCTCTACACACTGAGGTGGAGTAATTTAAGGACTACCTTGCTGAGTGAAAAAAAAAATACGAAAGGTGATCTGTATTGTGTTATCTTATTTGCAGGAGTGAAGGGGACTGAGTGGAGTGGAGTAAGGAGCTCCCCTCAGCTGGGAGAGAGAGCCAGGTGTCAGAGTAGCCATTTAAAGCAACAAGCCCTTAATGAGTTAAACCTTTCATCACTCACTGCAGTGTATAGGGAGTGGTATAGGGAGGAAGCACCAGCTCGCTTCCGTTCCTGTTTCCTCCATGGAATGGTGCACTGGTCAAGGGTCAGGTGGATCCGTGCGGACATGCGTGACCCAACAAAAGGCTCCAGCAGTTTTATGGACCCTGTGGCCAGGTGAAGAGAGCTCAAAGTGGACTGAGTCACAGTGAGGAAGCATGTCTTCAAGGTTTCCCCTCCTCCTGGAAGGAGGCCTCTGCAGAGGCGCCTGAAGAGGGCCTTGCCCAGGGCCTCAGCTAGAGACCTAGGTATGTAGCAGTGTGAGTACGTAAAAAAGCCTGACTGGCCGGGGGCTCTGAAACCTTGACTGTGCAGGGCTCTGGCTGTGCTCTGAATCCCATGTGGGAGGGCAGCTTTGCTCAACTGCCCATGCTCCGCCTGAAATGTCACACGTGGGTTTTTAACCAGGCCCCACACTGAAAGTATGCATGTCTGCTGATTTTTATCAAAGAAATGGGAAGAATAAACCAGAAACAAGTGAGATAAATTTCCCGATGGGGGGTGAGTAGGAACTGAATGGGAGGTACGAGGGGGTAGCAGTGCCCAGCCAGGGCCCAGGTTAGGACAGTGACCCTTCTCTGAATCTTTTTGTATAGCTTTGACCTTTGGAACCTTGTTAATGTATTATGTTTAAAAAAATCAGCAAGGACACAGAATAAAACAAACTAAAACCAATTATAAATGCAAACAAATGAACTTAATAGTATTTCAAATAGATAATATGGCACAGTGAAAGGGAAAAGGAAATTTCCAAATAACTTTACCCACTGAATTATTTACTACATACTTTTAGCATAAAGTCAGAACTCAATATAAAAATGAATTTAATAAGTAGTTTTGTTTTTGTTCTGAGTTGTCATTTCTATAACTCCTGTGTATTCTAAATTTGATAAACAACAAATATTGAGATAACCAGAGTCAGATTTATCAGTGTCACAGAAGGAAGCTACAGATATTGAAAAAGAAGAGTCTCGAATAAACACTGTGATGCTTGATTGGAATCACAGTTATCACTATGCACTTGGGGTTGTCATAAAGATATTTTTGTGTATAACACACACATTTCCTAGCTTCGTCTTTGAGAATATCTGGAAGCAATGACATCCCACTAGGAATGAATACACCTGGCACTCAGTTTCTGAACATTTTCTCCACTAAAAATACTAGGGCTCCTCATAGAAATGGTTGATTCTGGGGTTGGAGCCGGAAAAGTATAATAGGAGGCTGGAACATTTTTCTTACACCAGAAAAGAAAGAAGGATGCATGTAACAGTGAGGACGTATCCAAAAGACAAGGGATTTAGCTTCAGAGGGCTCCCATTGGCTACTCTAGGGGAATTGAGTATCAAAATAAATAATGATATTATGACCAATAGATGTTAACCCAGTAAAAAATAGGAATCCATGGGTCTGTATGATATAACCAAATAAATACATACATAAATAAATGTTAGAAGTCTCTTCCTCTCTGTAAAATTCCACATGTAGAAGGATTGATTCATTTAGAAAAACTGCAGTTTGGCAACCATCATACTAATAATTGATTCAAGCAGGGATTATCAATGGATACTAAAACTGGTAAGTAGAGGTTTGATTAACAGCAGAATATTTGCATAGCCTTGTCGCCCCAGAAAACACTTATTCAACATAAAAATAAAAATCAGGAACCTTAACAGTGGAGAAACCTGGCAGGAACCACCTGAACCAAATGATCAAAGCTGAAATATTGGGACAAACGATAGCATGTGTCTCCTAATATAAACATCAGACAAACCCAGATTGAGGAACATTCTACACAAAAACTGGCCTACACTCAACAGAAAATGTCAAGGCTATGAGAGAGAGATTGAGGGACTGTTCCAGATCAGAGGGGACTGAAAGTACATGAAAACTCAATGCAGCAGGTGGTCCTCGGTTCAATTTGGGGGGCTTGGGTGTTACAGATATAATTGGTTCAATTTACAAGTAAGGATCAGATTTGCTCAATAAGGTAACAGCATTCTATCAGTATTTTCTGATTTTGAGAAAAGTATTGTGTAAAAATTTATGTAAATGAATGTTTTTATTCTCAGGAAATCCCAAGTGAAGTGTTTAGGGGTAAAGGGACATCCTATCTGAAAGTTACTTTCAAATGGTTTAGAAAAAGTAATTACATACATAAAGATATATAATAATGTACATTATATATAGTTAAATATGTATATATGCATATATTTACTTTGCATTTACTTGTTTTAGTTTACTTTCTTTTTTAACTTACTTTCTCTATATAATGTACATAGAGAAAGATTGAGAGAAGAAGATAAACTAAACGTGAAAAAAATACCAGTATTTGAGGAGGCTGGATGAAGAATATGTAAGAGTTCTTTGTACAATTTTTGCAACTGTTCTATATATCTGAAGTTGTTTTAAAATTTATAATTCCCAAAGAAATCAAATATGGGCTTTGGCATCAGACTAAGGCTGACATCATGGTTAAACGATTTCTCATCTCCGCAGGATGACGTGATCAAAGGAAAGTACCCACATGGTAGAGTTGTTGAAGACCCTGTATTTAACAATGCATGGAAAGCATTTTGCGTGTCATTATTAAAATATGACATAGCACAGTGTAGTGTAGTATTGTCTATATCTATCCTCTAGCTAGCTAGCTATCTAAATATATATCTACCTAAATCTCTGCTATCCATCAATTATTTCTCCAAAGTTCTCACAGCATTTATAGTACAATTTTCCTAGTCAATAAAACTAATTTTATATGTAGAAGTAAAATAATTTGATAGTTGCTATTTTGTAAAGGTTTATGCACTTTCAGTTATTTCTTATGGTTAGAATACCCAGAACTTTGTAAAATTTAAAAATATATATTTAATCTGAAGAAAGGTCATTAGCCCAGAGTGACCCTCTGAAATACAGCCTTTTAAATATGCACTATGGAACAAACACCGCTATCAAGGTTTTTGCTGTAACAATAAAGATGGTTATTTTAGTCATCTGTCAATTATTCATAGCACTGCAAAACAAAGTAAAATAGAAAATAAAAATATCAAACCAATCTTAAAGTCAGTCTGGAAAGTTTTATATATATATATAATATATATATAATAAATATATATTATATATATTATAATATATTATATATTATAATATATATATTATATATTATAAATATATAACATATATATTATAAAATATAATATATTATATATTTATAATATATATTATAAATATATAATATATTATATATATTATAAATATATATTATAATATATAATATATTATATATATTATAAAAATATATCATAAATATATACTATATTACATATTTTATAAATATATATTATAAATATATACTATATTATATATATTATAAATTATATATTATAAATATATACTATATTATATATAATATAGTATATATTATAAAATATACTATATTATATATAATATAGTATATATTATAATATATATTATAATTATATATTATAAATATATTATATATTATAAATATATTATATATTATAATATATATTATAAATATATTATATATTATAATATATATTATAAATATATATTATAATTATATATTATAATATATATTATAAATATATTATGTTATAAATATATATTATATATTTTATATTATTTATATTAATTATATATTATATATTATATATTATATTATATATTATATATTTAATATATTATAGTATATATAATATATTATATAATATATTTTATAATATATTATATATATTAATATTATGTATTATATAATATATTGTATATATTATACATTATATAATATATATTATATAATATATTATATAATATATTATATAATATATTATATATTGTATATTATATAATATATATTATATAATATGTATTATATATAATATAATATATATAATATAATATATTATATAATATATAGTATATTATATATAATATATTATATAATATATTATATAATATATTATATATAATATAATATATTATATAATATATATTATATTATATATAATATAATACATTATATAATATATTATATAATATATAATATAATACATTATATAATATATTATATAATATATAATATAATATATTATATAATATATATTATAAATACATTATATAATATATATTATAAATACATTATATATCATAAATATTACATATTATAAATGTATATTACATATAATAAATGTATATTATTTATATATTATATATTATAAATGTATATTACATATAATAAATGTATATTATTTATATATTATATATTATAAATATATAAAATATATATAATAAATATATAAAATATATTTATCATACATAATATATATAAAATATATATTATGTATAATAAATATATAAAATATATATTATGTATATATAATATATATATCAGAAATTTGTTCCAAAGCAAATTGATTGATTCTGCGAGGGGTCTCCCTGTGCTAACACGAGCCAGAGGAAGTGACATCTGCAGCAAAGGCAAACAAGAGACATTGTTCCCATTTCTAAAATGTTCCATTGCTTCCTCTAAAAGATTGTTGTTTGTTTCATTAAATAGTAACTCCAAGCGTAGGTGAAGTTAGCATGCAGATGTTGAAGTTATAAACAACTTTTACAAGTACACCTAGTTATGAACCAGAAGACTTTATTTTTTTTTGACGCAGAGTCTTGCTCTGTCACCCAGGCTGGAGTGCAGTGGTGGGATCTTGGCTCACTGCAACCTCCACCTCTGAGGTTCAAATGATTATCATGCCTCAGCCTCCAGAGTAGCTGGGATTACAGGTGCCTGCCACCATGCCCAGCTAATTTTTGTATTTTTAGTAGAGATGGGGTTTTGCTATGTTGGCCATGCTCGTTTCACACTCCTGACTTCAAGTGATCTACCTGCCTCAGCTTCCCAAAGTGCTGGGATTACAGGCATGAGCCACCATGCCCAGCCGCGAGAGGACTTTTATTTCACTGCATGCATCCTGTGTGCCTGTGAAGGGCAATTTTTATATTTAGTGTGCAAAGGTTACAAAAAACCTCCGAGTCTGTGTTTGAGCTTCAGCTTTTCTTCTTTGTGGAAAAATGACATCTTTTTACCTCCTTTTTTGCCATAAGTTATTGAAGAATAGTGATTCTGACGGTTGTGGTTTGTGGGTTTGTTTTTTCATTTTGCTGAAATTGTCATGTAGGTGTTTCATTAGCTTATGCAGTTTGATAATTTCTGTACAGTGTTCTGGGAATTCATTGCTTTGATTTCCATTTTTCCCAATTTTTATGTCAAAATTTCCACTTACCTTCCAAGGTTGAATCTAGACAATGTAGTATCTCACCTCTTTCTTTGCTTTGTTCTCCAAGACAGAGTCTTGCTCTGTCACCCAGGCTAGAGTGCAGTGGCGTGATCTCAGCTCACTGCAACCTCCACCTCCCGGGTTCAAGCAGTTCTCCTGCCTCAGCCTCCCAAGTAGCTGGGATTACAGGGTCACACCACCACACCCGGCTAATTTTTGTATTTTTAGTAAAGACGGGGTTTCACCGTGTTGGCCAGGATGGTCTTGAACTCCTGACCTCGTGATCCGCCCGCCTCAGCCTCCCAAAGTGCTGGGATTACAGGCGTGAGCCACTGCGCTTGGCCACACCTCACCTGTTTATGATCCTTTTTACATAGTTTATTTTGCTCCTGAACCCACATAACTCTTACAAGGGTATCCAGCCAGATTCCTTTGGTTCTCAAAGACTGTTAAATTTTTCTCTACTGTAGTCATATTCCTTTATCTTTCCTGTTAAAATCCCCTTCAAATATTGTAAGGCTAAATAAATAATATTCCTATTCTAATGCCAGGATCTAATTCACTGGGGCCATGGTGTCTTTTTCTCATATAATAAGTTCTCAGGATGTATTTTTCTATTCTCATGGTCTATTTCCTTTTATTTTAAATTGGGAAGTGTTCCATACAGAATTTTGTTTTAAATCCAAGGAAGACTGATAACTGAGGTGTGATACCCTTAGCTTTTCCAGATTCTCCTGGGGTTCATTAACCACCAGACTTTGTTCAAGTTCCTGCTGCAGCTTCTATCTGGTGGTAAATGATTGTGTAACAACACTGAACATGATGCATTTCGATACACTGTTCTCTTCTCAGCCTTGGCTTGAGTACTTAGTGAGGCCTGAGGAATAATTACCTCTTTCTCCATTTTCTTTTGTAGCTGCTACCAATTGACCAAAATCAGTAAGAAGCTCATGTAGCCCATGTAGGGTAGCGTCCTGGGGCCCCCGGGGCACGAAGCAGGTGGAGAATGGTGGGAAATGGGGCTGAAGAGACAAATAGCAGGCATTCTGCCTCCAAGCACACGTCTCCGTGTCTCACTATCTGGTGCCAAATGTTCATACACATATATGTGCATCTTTCTCTAATTTCTTGACTTCTATAGTCTCCTGAGAGTTTACAGGAATTTTCATAGTAAACTTTGCAGCTCAGCTTTCCTGGATACCCTCAGGAGGAATTCAATTTTTTGGTCTTAGGTAATCCAGTTATGCCTCTTATCCCTTTGCAGTTTTTTCAGTTGAACTTCATTTATTATTTTAGTATCTTGCTTAAGTGTGTGGTATCTTATAAATGCTCCCCTAGCGACATCTGAAAATATATCCACAGCTATAATTTTCAAACTTGGGTTGAATATGAAAGCTTTTCATTCTGCTGTATTGGAATGACATGTAAATAGAGCACCTGGTTGTTTTGGATGTATATTGATTCTGGCTTTTTAAAAAGGTGTTCAAAATTTAGTGTTTGTGGAATGAAGTTATTATAGAGAACTCAGGATAGCTATAAATTCGAATTGATTTGGAACCATATTGCATGCCTTTGGGAGATGCTAAGCCGTTTTCCTTATTTTTTTTCCTTCCAATATCATATCATTAAGGTAATAATGTTGTCTGCCAGAATTTGTTGTGATGAGCAGATGGATTACTAATATTTTGTTGATTGATTTCTTACTCAGCTCTGCTATAAAACTTAATTGATGATTCTGCCATCAACGGTTTAAGTGGTACCTATTAAAGTTTAGACTTGGAGACCCTGCAAAACTCTTGCCCATTAAGCTTGGTTTTTCATTTTCAGAAGTATATTCACAAAACTTCCCCTATCCCTAGCTCAAGAAACATGTGTCATACTATCACATTATACTCTGGGACGGTGAAGTTTTTTCAACAGTTTTGATTTCTTGCCTGAAATGTGTCTGCTATTATACTTGCATTGTTGTTGTTAGTGAATATTTCTCTAAATTCTTAGCATGAAAGAATGAACCCCATGGCCTTTTTAAAACGTCATATAGTCAAATTTCTATGAGACATCTTTTACTGTGTGTTATTTCAACATGACCACTCACTGCACTGTATCCTGAGAGCAGTGACATTTCTTTAAATGCACAGCCCTTCATTAAATATTGAAAAATGACTAATAGCAACCTTGCTTTTTCAGGCAAAATTAAAACTGTTTTTTTAAATGCTCATTTTCCATCGTTCTTCTAAATATGTATAATTTTTGGATATTGGCTGATAGTATATTTCCCATTCATTTATCCATTCAGTTATTCATGGTTCATTTGTTTACTTGTATATATAATTTTTTAACTGTATATATAGATAATGAAGCCATACAATGTGCTGGCGCTCTTCTAAGTTCTAGAGTACAGTTGTAAAAAGGAGGGGGCCACTGGACTTATGGAGCTTATATTCTGGGGTTCATTGGGCGCAGTATGTCAAGAGAAATAAATTTCTTAGTTAATACTAGGTACCAATAAGTGCCATGATGGAGATCAGTATGGGATGTCATCATGCAAACAATAAGAGAAGGGTGGGAGGCTGCTTTAGGATGCTGAACTCAGCCCCAAATGGCAAGATTGAGCCAGATGTGCAAAGGACCAGGGGGCAGAGCTCTCTCGGCTAATGAGACAGCTAGTGCAAGGCATCGTAAGCAGAGAAAGAGCTTGGCCTATCTGAAGAGCTGAAAGGAGGACAGTGCTTTGAAGAGGGCAGACAGGAGTGGAGTGCAGACTGGGCCAACTCACGTTGGTCTTGTAGACCATGGCAAGAAATCTGGATTGTGTTTTCCAAGTGGAATGGAACACTAGAGGATAGTCAGTAGGGGAAGAATATGATCTGGTTTACAGTGTTGAATGTGGAATCTGGTTTACAATGTGGAATGTTAAATTGAGTGCACAATGTTGAATGTGGAATCTGGTTGACATTGTTGAAAGACTCATTTTGCTGTGGGAAGAATATGGGGCAAAAGCATCAATTAGTGGTGTGAGAATTTTTCCATTCAGTGTTTAAATTGAATGGAAATTGAATTGGAACTCTTTTAAAGTCCCAGGAATTGTCAGTCGTTTAATCAACAAACGCCAAGCAACTGCTGGGTGCTAGGAACAGTGCTGAGTGATGGGAAACAAAGATGGAACAAACAAGTCATTAGACAAAATAAAATCACACACATATATAACTTCATTTTAAATGTTTCAAAGCTCTCGTGTACTTTATAGTAATTCTAAGAAATGCAGATTTACTTAATATTGTTCAAATAAGATAGCAATTTTTAGTATGCTTTTTTAAATTTAGCAATGTCACCATCATCATAAAATGTGAGTAGATATATATATATATACACTATCCTTTTATATTAAATTCACAAATGGCTATAAAATTCTACAAGTGTTGGACTCAGATTATAGGATTAAATAGATTTAGATAATAGAAATAATACACAACCTTTCTCCTTCCCATCTTCCAACCCTGACATCTAGCACCGGTTTTCTAAAGTTAACTTTTTTCCCCCCAAAAAAGGTTAGATTTGATATATTAGCAAAGACCCTGCAGTTCTGTATCTCAACTACTTTAAAGCTAACTTGGAAAAGTAAACTGAGCCTAAGGAGCTTTTATCATGAATGAAGGCTTTTTTCTCTCTAGCCCGAGGCATTCTCGGCAGGGCAATAGATTCGGGCTGTCAACACTCAAGCAAGAACACAAATAAGGGCTCAAGAGTTTCATTCCTTTTTTTTTTTCTACCAATTTAATAGTCCTGCAGAGACAGAGAGAGAGAGCAAGCATGTGCAAGAGTCAGAGGTGGATTGAGAGTTGAGTTGAATCTTTTCCACTACAGCATTTCTCCTGCTTAATCAAAGTGAAGAGGTCGACTTAATTTTTAGTGATATGATAAAATGTCTTACCATGTAGCATATATTATGAGTCAACAGTCTTTGTTTTTATTTTTGGACATATTTCTTACAAAATTCCCAATGTGAACAACTTTCCTGGTATTCTATATTGTCCTATACTTTATTTCTTTTATTACCAATAAAGAGTCAAATGCACACCAAACTAAAAGTCCCCAAAGTTTGAGACTTTATCCTGGAAGAAGCACATGCTTGAAATATGTTGTCATTTCCCTTTTTCTTACTTAATTGTACTAACTTATTTAATATTAAACGTTAGCTCGATTTTTATATTAGCTTTCTTTTTCAGGCATATCTTCAGATTTCAAAAGCTATTACTCTGAGATTCATTTCATTTTAATTTAAGTGCCTTTACAGGCAAGTCTTCCTTTGTGTCCCTACAGACAATTAATTAATATTTTCCTATGGAAAGAAAAATGTATATGTTTAGTATTTTGCAAAATAATGCCAATTCAAATAGAGCATTATCTTCAACATTTTTCTTAAATACAATTTATCCCACTGAGCCCAACATCAACACTATTTCCTTGAAATTTTCTTTCCATTCGTAATCATATGTGAGCCTGAGGAGCCACTTAGGAAGTGAACCTGATCAACAGCCAGTTTGCAAAAGCTGTTGCTCATCACAGGGGAGACATACCATCTGCAGTGTGGTAAATGAGTTTCCATGTGGATTCCAAGTGCTCCCAGTTCTATGAGTTCATTAGTTTCTTTCTGAAGCTACAATTTTGCAACAGACATCTTCAGAAAACTTTCAGTGCTATCATTATGTTTATATTACCTACGCTGGTGTTGAGGAGTTTGCTAATTGCTACTGCAACAATAAATGCTCATTATCTTCAAGCAAATAATTAAGCAGTAAGCACCAAATATGAACTGCTGGTCAGAGGTCTATGGTGGCCTGTATTAGTGCATTCTTGCTCTGCTATAAAGAAATATAGAAAAGAGAGTTAATTGGATTTATAAGAAAAGAGGTTTAATTGGCTCATGGTTCTGCAGGCTGTACAGGAAGCATAGTGACTTCTGCTTTGGGGAAGGCCTCAAGAAGTTCTAATCATGGCAGAAGACAAAGGGAAAGTGAGGTGTCTCACACAGCAGGAGCAGGAGCAAGAGCGGGTGAAGCAGCTGGTGCTACAAACTTTTAAACAACCAGAGCTTGTGAGAACTCACTCACTTTCTATTCACTAGGACAGTACCAAGTGGGATAGTGCTAAGTCATTCATGATAAATTCAACCACATGATCCGGTGACCTCCCACCAGGCCCCACCTCCAACACTGGGGATTACAATTCAATATGAGATTTGGGTGGGGATACAGATCCAAACCAAATCCCAGCTTTTTCAGATCAACTCCTAATTTATCTGTGTGACGAGACCAAGGCTTTAAGTGTTTCAGGCCTAGAAACAAGTTGCTGCAGTGAGAATACGTTGAAGTTGCAAGATAAAAAGACAAATCCATAATTCAAGTTTCAGATTCCAATACATCTCTTTCAATAATAGAACACATAGGTAGAAAATCATTAAGGATATGGAAGATTTAAACTGTATTACCAATCAACAGGACCTAATTGACTTTTATAAAATATTGTGCAAAACAGCAGAATACATATTCTTTACAAGTACACCAGGCATATTTACCATGGTAGGCTATATTATGAGGTGTTCCAATTGATCTTTAACAGGTCAATGCATAAACAAGTTATGGTATATTTATACAGTGATATAGTAAACTGCAATAAAAATGAACGAATACCCTCTTTCAGAAATGGACAGTTTCAGCATGTAAATAATCAGTAAGGACATAGTTGAACTCAGCAGCACCATTGTAGCATGATGAGTCTCCCACCCATTAGCCAAGGGTATATGTCTACCACCTAAACCTTGAAGACCAGGCAGTGAGCCAAGGCTATGGGGCTCAGCCAAGTAGCAGGTGTTCCTGAGAACCTAAGCATCCTAGAAAGTGTCTGAGAACCTAGCAAGAAAAATAGTCTCAGCACTTAAACACAATATACAAAAATTCAGAAAATTCGCTTAAAAGTAGTTTAAGAACAAGAGGTGGTGTGGAGCTCTAAAGCTGTCCTGCTGCCATCCAGGAGGTCCTCATATATAAGTCCTTATAACCCATCTACTCGCCAAACTGGACATGTCCAAATTTTTTTTTTTTTTTTTTTTGTCAACAACCTCCCAATTTGGGGGAAGGTTTTTCTGTATGATTCTGGGATTTTCTCATTGCAGCCATTGATCAACTGGATATAATTGACCTCTATAGACCACTTCCACCACCAACAACAACAGAATACATATTCTTCTCAAGCTATCATGAAACATTCACCAGGACACAGAACATTCTGGGCCATAAAACAGCCACCTTTACAAATTTAAAAGAATAGAAATCATAGAATATTTGCTCTCGACTACAGTGGAATTACACTATAATGACAGAAAGACAGATGGAAAATCCCAAAAGACGTGGAAATTAAACACAAACTTCTCAGTAACACATGAGTCAAATAATAAATCACAAGAGTATTTGAAATCAGATGAAAATGAAAATATAACTTATTAAAATGTGTGGATACAGTGAAAGCAGTGTTTTGAGAAATCTACAGCATTGAATGAATATATTAGAAGAGAAAAAGACCTAAAATAAATCATCTCAGTTTCTATGTTAGAAAAGTAGAAAAAGAAGAGCAAATTAAATCCAAAGGTGGAAGAGAAGTATTAAATTTAGAGCAAAAAATCAATGAAATTGAAAATACGAAATCAATAGAGAAAAATGAATGAAGCAAAAAAAAAAATGGTTATTTGAAAAGATTAAAAAATCAATAAGACTATCCATGTTAAGTAAGAAAGGAAACACAAATTACTAACATTGGAAATAAAAGAACATCACAATAGATCTCATGAACAATGAAAGGCTTATAAAGGAATATTATGAACAAATCTATATTTACAATCTGATAATGTAGCTGAAATTCCCTGAAAGGCACAGCTAGTAAAATTCACAGTAGAAGAAATAGACAGTCTGAAAAGAATGGTACCTATCTTAAAAATTGAATCAGGAATTAATAACCTTCCAAAGAGAAAGCACCAGCTCCAGTTAGGTTCACTAGTGAATTCCACAAAACATTTAAGGAAGAAATTTTACCAGTTCTATACAATCTCTTTCAGAAGGATGAAACTGCAGAAATTCTTTCTAATTCCCTCTATGAAGCCAGCATTACCCTACTACAAACAACAGAGAAAGATATTGCAAGAAAAGAAAACTACAGACCAAGATCTTGCATGCGTATAGATGCAAAATTCCTCAATAAAATATGAGCAAATCAATGTATTGAAAAATTATAACATGCAGCCAACTGAGATCTATGACAGATCTACAAGGGTGTTCAACATTTGAAAATCAATTAATATAATCCATCATATCAGCAGGCTAAAGAAGAAAGATCAAATGACCATATCAGTAGATGCAGAAAAAGCATTCGACAAAATCAAACACCCATTCATGATTTAAAAAAAAAAAAAAAAAAAAGCTATTTGCAAACTAGAGATACAGGGGAACTTTCTAAACTTGATAAGGAATATCTACAAAAAACCTACAGTGGGCATCATACTCAATGGTGAGAAGCTAGACTCTTTGCCATTAAGATCAAGAACAATGCAAGAATGTCATTTCTTACCACTCCTTTTCAGCATTTTACTGGAAGGCCTAACTAATGCAAGAACAAAAGAAAATGGAACAAAACATATAAAATTGGGAAGGAAGAAATAAAACTATCATTGGTAGCAGATGACATCATTATATATGTGGAGAATACAAAAGAATTGACCAAAAAAATCCCCCAAACTAGTTAGTAATTATAGCAAGGTTGCAGGATACAGGTTTAATGTGCAAACGTCAATTGCTTCCCTCTGTACCAGCAATGTACAAGTGGAATTTCGGATTAAGAACGCAATAACATATTAGCTCCTCTAAAAATATTATTAGCTCCTCTAAAAATGAAATATTTAGGTAAACTAACAAAACTGTCCAAGATCTGTATGAGGAAAATTACAAAACTGTGATGAAAGAAATTAACTAAATAAATGGAGAAATAGCCCGTGTTCATGGATAGGAGGACTCAATATTGTCAGAATGTTAATTCTTCCCAATTTTATCTAGAGTCAATGCAATCACAATAAAAAGTCCAGCATGTTAACTTGTGAATATCAACAAACTGATTCAAAAGTTTATATGAAGAGGCAAAAGACCCAGACTAGCCATTGCAGTATTGAAATAGAAGTATAAAGTCAGAGGACTGACACTATCCAATTTTAAGGCTTAACTATACAAAACTACAGTAATCAAAACAGTGTGGTAATAGTAAAAGAATAGACAAATCGATCAATGGAACACAATAGACAGCCTAAAAGTAGACCCATACATAGTCAAATGATCTTTAACAAAGAAGCAAAGAATATACAATGGAGAAAGTGTAGTCTTTCAGCAAATGGTATTGGAACAACTGGATGCAAACATGCAAAAACAAAAAAATCTGGAAACAGATCTTGTACTCCTTACAAAATTAAAACTTTCATAGTCCTCACTGTTAAAGTGCAGAACTATAAGACTCCGAGAAAGTAACACTGGAAAAAACATAGATGACCTTAGGTATAGTAATAACTTTTTAGATACGATACCAAGTGCATAATCCATGAAAGAAATAATTGATAAGCTGGATTTTATTACAATACAAAACCTCAGCTCTTTGAAAAGCAGCTGTCAAGAGAATGAAACAAGCCATAGACTGGGAGAAAAAATTTAAATAGACATCTCTAATGAAAAACTACCATCCAAAATATACAAAGAACTTTAAAAACTCAACAATACAAAAACAGACAACCTGATTAAAAATGGGCAAAAGACCTGAACAGATACTTCTCAAGGAAGATATAAACATGGCAAGTAAGCATATAAGAAGATGCTCAACGTCTTACCATGTTAGGGAAATTAAAATTTAAAAAAACAAACAAACAATGAGATACCAGTACACATCTATTACAATGGCCAAAATCCAGGACACTGACACCACCAAATGCTGGGGAGTATGGGAATCAAGAAAAACTCTTATTCATTACTGATGGGAACGCAATATGGTCTCATCACTTTGGAAGACAGTCTGGCAGTTTTTTACAAAACTAAACATAGTCTTACCATACGATCCAGCAATTTAACTGCTTGCTGTTTACCCAAATGAATTAAAAGTTTATGTCCACACAAAAGACTGCACATGGATATTTATAGCGACTTTATTCATAATTGCCAAAACTTGGAAGCAGCCAAGATGTCCTTCAGTAGATGGATGGAAAAATATAACAAGTCTTTAAATGTAAGTCTTTAAAACAAAATTTTGTTCTAAAGAACTCACGCATAGTTAATTTTACCATTAATATAAGCATCTTGTTACTATTAGTATTTCTTTGAAATATAATTATCAGTATTTTTCAAGTTGCTAGTAACTCAGTTCATCATTTATTATTATTGTTATTGCTATTATTATTTTGGTCTGTGGAATCTAAAATCTGGCATCCATATGCATCAAGTAAAAAAGTCCTCTAAAGCTTGTTTGCGGAAATTAGCTGACCAAAGTGTCCTGTTTTCCCACATTCATGTTTTGGTGCATTAGTCTTGGTAACAAAAGTAGTTCCATTTCATCATTCCTATCTGTGCCTACCACTGCAGCTAACAATCACCATAGTGCAATCACTCCTCACCTCTTGCCACCTTCTTGGCTCGGGCATTGTGCTTTATTTCGTGTGACTCTTGGACCTCGCACATTGCTTAGCACATAGAAAATGCAAAATGAATGCCATTGCATAAATGGACGTGCCATGAAATATTTGCTCATGCATAGATGGGGATTCACTGCTTGTGCTTTCACCTTTTCACTACAAGACACGTTTTTATTTTTCAGGAATTGTGGAGCAATTCCGAGGTAGGGACAGTCACTCTTTTTCATGATGCTGTTACAGCAACAGTCACCAGTAAAGTCCAGTGTCCAGATGGGCACAAGAGGAGTTCACTTCCTGAAATCAATTGCAGTGACATCTCCTCCGCCCCACCCCAAGCAGGTTGTCAATTTTACATTTATCCAGACTGCCTCTTCTCTAAGCAGTTGACACTGATTTTGTTCGTTGTTATTGCTGAGACTTGATAGCTCACTGTGGCAATGATTCTGAGAGGTGTGAAGAGGGGTTTATAGGAGAATCGCTTGTGGTGGAGGCAAGCTGTGTATAATTCTGTGTTGCGGTTGTTAGAAATCCTTCTTCACCCTTTCCTAAATCTACTGAGAATCTACTTATCTTTCTATCAAATGTTTTTGTGTGTTAAGAGGACAAAATAAAGTAGAATGTTTTTCATTCTCAAAAGACTAGAAAATGATTATGGGATTGTGAGGAAAATTACCTAAACACACATACTCAGTTCACACTACTCATCTTTGGAAACAAACTGACACCATAAATTACTTATTTCCACAGTATGATTTCCCTGAAGATCCCATTTATATTGAGGCATTTTGGGGGTTAGGAAATATACTGGAAATTGACCCGATGACAAATTTACACTGCAAGTATGTATAACGGGATTGGATTTCTCTTACACTATCTTTTATTCTCTCAAGACTTTCCTGGAGCCCAGGCAATTCGCTGAAACTTCCTCTTATTGAAAGTGTAAATAAATGTTGTTGTTTTTTAGGAATGGCAGTCTAAGCCTGATATACAAACTGTAGCTAATGAAACAGTAGCTACCTGCTACCAGAGTAGAAAGCTGTAACTAGGATAACTGGATGGAGCCCTGGCCACATGTGAATTGCCTGCTGAGGTTACACTCATTTTATCTTTGTCAGATAAAGATGGAAATTGGACAAAACAAATAAATATTTATTTACATGCAAATATATGGGGGTTTTCATATGTGTAGTTAATAGATTGTTTCCAGGTTCATAAGAGGAGGTTATAAAATATTTAGCAACACATGACTTCATGCCAACTATGATTTACTGAGAAATGAAGCGTTTCTTGGCAACCATCATAGCACGAATAAAGATTTATGACAGTGTATCTACTTTGTGTGTTTGAGGAGTTAAGGCTGATAAATGGGCTGAAAATAGTCAACTCATTATTCTCATATTCATAGACTATCCAAAAGTGATATAGTTACTGCTTCCTCACTAAATCTTAGATGGGAAATCTCATACTTCCCAAAAATCCCTATAAAGAAAAGATGACTATTGTATTTAAAAGGGCTATATAATAACCATATAATATATGTTTTATGTTTTTTAATATATTTTGCAGTATATGTGGTTCTTTATTTCCACATTATTGCCATATAAACCATTTCTGTCAGCTGTCTTTCCCATGGTTATGAAGGTCATCAAAGCTCGTCATTACCTGGCTCCTGTATTTTAGGACACAGGTCCAGCCAACTACGAGAGGGCTTTTGGCCATTTTTGCACAGATGGGCTTATATATAACCAGCCAAGTAATGATACATTCATTGAGCACCAGGTGTTGGTGATGAAAGGAATGTTTGCAGCTAAAAAATATTGATAACTCTGTCCAACTTGAGTTTACCCTCATGTATTTTGGTTTGGGAATGGTGTTTCTATCACTAACTGCTGGTTTTCTGAAAAGAAACTAGATTTGTACATGTAGAGTGAGGAAGAGTATTTCACAGTCACCACAGAATAGCAGGTGCCTGATATCACTTAGTATGTTCTGAGTAGACAGATTGACCCAACTGATTGGAAAAGTGTAATATGAGTAACAGCCACCATGCCTCTACCACAGTGCCTTGAGAGATGCCATCTAGCTGGCTGGTACTGAGTTAGGTGACTGGGGAAAAGAAATTTCTTGCTTATGTGATTGAGTCCCCATGTAGGAAGGCACAGAGACACTGCACAAAACCCACAAGTTGTAAATGATGTCCAGTTATGTGGAATGGCTTAGATCAAGTTCCCAGCCGTCCAGAGGAATTAGCAACAGAACCCCAGGAGGCTGATTTTTATACCTCCTGTTCTAAGGAGAAGGTTGTAGTTTGTACCTCTCAGTAACATAAAATTAATGTTTTCCTAGGCTTCCACTGCAGGGTAGAAATAAATTTTTTCGCAGAAGTCACTATATTTAATGAGTATACAGATCTATGTATATAAGGAAAATAACTTCATTTAATGCACCAAGAAGTAGAATGGAATTGTCTATGGAATAGAGCACGTTGCGTCGAATGTGCTAGCCACCTAGATCTCAGTTTATTACGTATTTCATTGTACATACTTATTGTCATTCGAGAACGCAATTGAAGCTTGCTCTTTTATGTGTATAGAGGTAGACTAGGTTTGCAAGATTTATGGGTCATTTCAGTTGTGAGCTAGCTACCCGCTGATATGAGTCCAATGTCAAGGGGCACATGTAAGTGGTTGGGTTGTTTTCAGCGTGATTTCCTTTTGAAGCATGATGATTTAGGTGCTTTCTCCATGTTAATTTAAAAAAAAAATAAAACGTTTTTCCCCTAGAAAATTGTACAACTTAATCATAAACTTCTCCTGTATCTAAAAATATATTTTGGGGGTAGGCTGTTTTTCATACTTATACTGTTCCCTTCACATATACTAACTAATGCTGAATAGTGTTGTTATCTATGTAAATATAAAAGTATTGAAATAGCAATACATGTTAACGTAACTATTAAATTTATAACAAATAGAGAGTCTGCTATTCTTCATTTAATTAGCTGAAATTACTTATACCAGTTACATGTAAATTTGATTAAGAGGAGCTAAAAATTGGGGAAAATAAAGACGCAAATTAATTTCAGTAAATTTGGAATACCATTAGAGATTACAGTATTATTTTTGATGGATCAGTCAACCACATTTTGGCAAATCAGCCAAAAAGAAAATAAGCGGGGTTTAAAGTAAAGTATGTAGATACTGCTGGCTTGAAGAAACATATAGGAACCTTTTATTTGGGTCAGTTCAATAAAGGTCCAGTAACCAGAATGGGATTAATGTTCACCTTTGACTTTGGAAAGGTATTTGTCCAGTGCCTGGCTTATTTTGCTTAACATAATGACTTCTAGTTCATCCAGGTTTCTGCAAGCATAGGATTTCACCCTTTTTGTGGCTGATTAGTACTCGTGTGTATGTGTGTGTGTGTGTGTGTACACACCACGTTTTCTTTATCCATTTATCTGTTGGATTTACACAGGTTGACTCCATATCTTGACCTATTGTGCTACAATAAACATGGGGGTACAGGTATCCCTTTGATATGCTGATTTCCTTCCTTTGGATAAATACCTAGTCATGGGATTATTGGATCATATGGTAGCTCTAATTTTGGGGATTTTTTAATTTTTTGTGAAAATGGGGTCTTGGTATGTTGCCCAGACTTGTCTCAAACTCCTGGACTCAAGCAGTCTTCCCACCTCAGCCTCCCAAAGTGCTGGGATTACAGGCGTAAGCCACCTTGTGCTTTTAGTTTTTGGAGATGCCTGCATACTGTTTTCCAGAATGGCTGTACTAATTTACAGGTTACAACAGTGTATAAGAGTTGCCTTTTCTCCACATTCTCACCAACATTTGTTATTTTGTGTCTTTTTGATAATAGCCATACTGAGGTAAGATGATATCTTATTGCTGTTTGGACTTGCATTTCCTTGATGATTAGTAATATTTAATTTTTTTTCATATACCTGTTGGCCATTTGTATGTCTTCTTTTGAGAAGTGTCCATTCTAACCTTTTGCTCACTTTTTGATGGGTTTATTTGTATTTTTGCTTTTGAGTTTTTTGAGTTCCTTGTGTATTCTGGGTATTAGTCCCTTGTTGAATGAATAGTTTGGAGATATTTTCTCCCATTCTACAGGTTGTTTCTGTTGATTGTTTCCTTTGCTGCACAGAAGCATTTTTGCTTAATATAGTCCCATTTATGTACTTTTTATTGCCTGTGCTTTTGAGCTCATGGCCATAAAAATCTTTGCCTAGACCAATGTCCTGAATGTTTTCCTTGTTTTCTTCTAGTAGTTCTATACTTTGGGGTTTTATGTTTAAGTCATTCTGCCTTGATTTTTGCATATAGTGAGAGATAAGGGTCTAGTTTCATTCTTCTTGTATACATCTTGCCTAGCACTTTTTATTGTAGTGTCCTTTCTCCAATGTTTGTCATTGTTACCTTTGTTGAAGATGGTTGGCTGTAAATACACTAATTGATTTCTGGGTTCACTATTTTGTTCCATTGCTCTATGTGTATGTTTTTATACCAGTACCCTACTGTTTTGGTTACTATAGCTTTGCAGAATATTTTGAAATCAGGTAGTGTGATGCCTCCAGCTTTGTTCTTTTGCCCAGGATTGCTTTGGCTACTCAGGGTCTTTTGTGGTTCCATACATATTTTAGGACTGTTTTTTTTTTTTCTATTTCTATGAAGAATGATATTGTTATTTTGATAGGGATTGCATTGAGCAGTCATTTTAACAATATTAATTCGGTCAATGAGCAGGGCATGTCTTTCCATTGGTTTGTGTCATCTTCAATTTCTTTCATCAGTGTTTTGTAGTTTTCCTTGCAAAGGTCTTCTACCTCCTTGGTTAAATTTATTCCTAAGTAGATTTTTTGGTAGCTATTGTAAATGGGATTGCTTTCTTTATTTTTTTTTCAATTAGTTTGTTATTGGTATAGAGAAACACTATTGATTTTTGCATGTTGATTTTGTGTCCTCCAACTTTACTGTATTTATTAGTTCTAAGAGTTTTTTGGTGGAGTCTAGGTTTTTCTGTATATAAGATCATGTTGTCTGCAAAGAGGGACAACTTGACTTTCTTTTTTCCAGTTTGGATGACTTTTCTTTCTTGTACCTGATTGACTTGGCTAGTACTTTCAGTACTATGTTGAATTGGAGTAGTGAGAGTGGGCATCCTAGTCATGTTTCAGTCCTTTAGAGGATAGACGTTCACCTTTTCCCCATTAGGTATGTTCCTTCTATGCCTAGTTTGTTGATGTTTTATCATGAAGGAATGTTGAATTTTGTCGAAAGCTTTTTCTACATCTATTCAGATGATTATATGGGTTTTGTCCTTCACTTTCTTTTTTTTTTTTCTGCACACCATGCTTCTATATGTCCTTCATTATCTTGATGTGATGTATCACATTTATTGATCTGTTTATGTTCAACCATTCTTACATCCCTGAGAAAAATCTCACTTGATCATGATATGCTATTTTGTTGAGGATTTTTGCATTGATGTTCATAACGGGTTGCTATAGTTTGGATATTTGACCACCCAAATCTTATGTTGAAATTTCATCACCAATGTTAGAGGTAGGGCCTAGTGGGAGGTGTTTGGGTCATGGGAGCAGTTCCTCATGAATAGATTAATGCCCTGTCTCAGGTAAGGGGCTGTATTAGTTCTCATGAAAGCTGGTTGTTTAAAAAAGAGCCTGGCACCTTCACCTGCTCTCTTGCCTTCTGTCATGTCACATGATCTCTGCACATGCTGTTTCTCCTTTGCCTTCTGCTGTGGTTGGAAGCAGCCTGAGCCCTTCACCAGAAGCAGGTGCTGGCTCAGTGCTTCTTTTACAGCTTGCAGAACCGTAAGTCAAATAAACCCCTGTTCTTTATAAATTATCCAGTCTCAGGTGTTCCAATATAGCAAGACAAATCGACTAAGACAGTGATCTTGGCCTATTCCTTTCTTTTGTTCTTGTATCCTTATCTGGTTTTGGTATCAATGTAATGCTGGCCACGTAGAATGCATTAGGAAGAATCTCTTCCTCTTCACCTTTTTGAAATAGTTTAAGAATTGCTTTTAGCTTTTCTATATAAATTTGATAGAATTCTGCAGTTAATCCGTCTTGTCCTGGACCTTTCCTTGTTGGGGGACTTTTAATTACTGCTTTAATCTCACTACTCATTATGGGTCTGCTTAGGTTTTCTTTCTTCCTACTTCATTCTTGGTAGGTTGTATGTGTCCAAGGTTTATATATTTCCTCTAGATTTTCCAATTTGTTGGCATGTAGTTGTTTATAATAGTCTCTAATGATTCTTTGTATTTCTGTGGTGCTAGTGGTAATGTCTCCTATTCGTGTATGCTTTTTTTATTTGAGTCTTCTATCTTTTTTCTTGGTTATTCTAACTAGTAGTTTGTGATTTTTATCTTTTTCAAAAACCAAGTTGTTATTGTTGTAATCCTTTTTACATTTTTCTTGTCTCTATCTCATTTAGTTCCACTCTGGTCTTTATTATTTCTTTCCTTCTACTAACTTTGGGTTTCCTTTGTCCTTTCTTTTCTAGTTCTTTAAGGTACATTGTTAGGTTGTTAATTTGAAGTCTTTCTACTTTTTTGATGTAGGTGTTTATTGCTATAAACTTTTCTCTTAGCAGTACTTTTGCTGTATTTCACGGGTTTTAATATATTACATTTCCATTTTTAATTCTCTCAAGAAATTTTTTGGTTTTCTTCTTAGTTTCTTCCTTGACCTAATGGTCATTCAGGAGCATGTTGTTAAATTTCCGTGTATTTGTACAGTTCCCAAAGTTTCTCTTGCTATCATTTCTAGTTTTATTCTGTTGTTGTCTGAAAAGATATTAATATCTGATATGATTTTGATTTTAACAAATTTCTTGAGACTTCTTTTATGTCCTAATATATGATCTATTCTAGAGAG
Organism: Homo sapiens; assembly: GCF_000001405.40. Lineage (NCBI taxonomy): Eukaryota > Metazoa > Chordata > Mammalia > Primates > Hominidae > Homo > Homo sapiens. The sequence goes on along the minus strand of NC_000006.12, from coordinate 161,992,673 downwards.
TGTTCCATGTGCCGATGAGAAGAAAGTGTATTCTGCAGCTTAATAATATGTTCTGTAGAAGTCTGTTAATTCCATTTGGTCATAAGTGCAATTTAAATCCAGTGTTTCTTTATTTTCTATCTCATAGATCTATCCAGTGCTGAAATAGGGGCATTGAAGCCCCCAACTGTTGTATCAGGGTCTATCTCTCCCTTTCAATCTATAATTTTTTAAAAAATATATCTGGGTGCTCTGCTATTGGGTACACATATATTTAGAATTGTTACATCCTTTTGCTGAATTGATACATGTTTCATTATATGATGATCTTCTTTGTCTCTCTCTCTCTTTTTTAAAGACAGAATCTCACTCTTTTGCCCAGGCTGGAGTGCTGTGGCTCGATCTCAGTTCACTTAAACCTCTGCTTCCCAGGTTCAAGCAGTTCTCATGCCTCAGCCCCCCTAGTAGCTGGGATTACAGGTGCGCCACCACCCCACTCAACTAATTTTTGTATTTTTAGTAGAGATGGGGTTTCACCATGTTGGCCAGGTTGGTCTCGAACTCTTGACCTCAAGACTTCTGCCCTCCTTGGCCTCCCAAGTGCTGGGATTACAGGCGTGAGCTACCGTGCCCAGCCTTCTTTGTCTCTTTTTAGATTTTTTGACTTGTAATCTGTTTTATCTGATGTAAGTATAGCTACTATTGTCCACTTTTGGTTTTTATTTGTATGGAATGACTTTTTCTATCCTTTCACTGTCATCTTTATGTGTTTTTATAGGTGAAGTGTTTTTCTTGTAGGCATCATATAGTTGGGCCATTTTTTTGTTGTTGCTTTGTTTTGTTTTGTTTTTTGAGACGGAGTTTCACTCTCATCACCCAGGCTGAGTGCAGTGGTGTGCTCTTGGCTCACTGCAAGCTCCACCTCCTGGGTTCAAGCAACTCTCCTGCCTCAGCCTCCTGAGTAGCTGGGATCACAGGTACCCACCACCACTCCAGGCTAATTTTTTGTATGTTTAGTAGAGATGGACTTTCACTGTGTTGGGCAGGCTGGTCTCAAACTCGTGACCTCAGGTGACCCGCCCGCCTCGGCCTCCCAAAGTGCTGAGATTACAGGCATGAGCCACCACGCCTGGCCAGTTGGGCCATTTTTTAAAATTCATTTAGCCATTTATTATCTTTTATGGGGGAAATTAATCCATTTACATTTGAAGTTATTATTAATGAGTAAAGACTTATTTCCATCATTTTATTAGTTGTTTCTGGTTGTTTCGCATATGCTTTGTTCCTTCTTTCCCTTTTGTTGTTTATCATTGTGGTTTGGTGGTTTTCTGTAATAGTAGCATTTGAGTCCTTCATTTCTCCTTTGTGTGTCTGCTCTACCATTGAGTTTTGCACTTTTGTGTGTTTTCGTGATGGTACATATTGTCCTTTTCCTTCCAGATGTAGAATTTCCTTGAGCATTTCTCATAAGACTTGTCTAGTGGTGATGAATTCCTTCTGTTTGTGTCTGGGAAAGACTTAATTTCTCCTTTCTTTTTGAAAGATAGCTTTGTTGGTAGAATATTCTTTCCTAGCATGTTTTTTCATTCAGCACTCTATATCATCCTATTCTCTCTTGCCTGTAAGGTTTCTGCTGTGAAATCTGCTGTTTGTCTGATGGGGATAGCTTTATATATGACATGACACTTTTCTCTTACTGTTTTTAGAATTCTGTTTGTCTTTAACTTTTAACAGTCTGACTCTAATGTTCCTTGAAAAAGACATTTTTGAGTCGAATTTATTTGGGATTCTTGGAGCTTTTTGTATCTGGATGTCTAAGTCTCTTGCAAGACTTGAGAAGTTTTCAGATATTATTTTGTTAAATAGGCTTTCCATGTCTTTGATCATCACTTCACCATCTGGAACACCCCAAATTCCATTTGTTTGCTTTGTGGTGTCCCATATATCCCATAGGCTTACTTTATTTTTTAATAATTTTTTAAAATTTTTTAACTGGGTTATTTCAAATGATCTCTTTTCAAGTTCAGAATTCTTTTTTCCTCTCCCTGATCTCATCTTTTTTTGAAGCCCTCAATTGTATTTTTATTTCATTCATTGAATTCTCCAGATCCAGGATTTTTGTTTAGACATTTTTAAAAATATCTTTCTCTTTGTTTAGTTTCTCATTCAGATCATGAATTGTTTTTCTGATATTTCGTATCTTTTATTTGTGTTCTATCATATCTCATTGAGCTTTTTACAGTGCCTCTGATGTAGCAGTTGCTTCTTCCAATTTTATGGATTGGCTTTTTTAGAAAAAGACTACTTTTTTCTACAGATGTATTTATAATGTTGCTTTGGTAGGTCACCTTGGCTTTGATTCTAGCTGGGCACAGCAGTGTAATGTCTCAATGATTTCTTCAGCTGTAATCAGCATCAGTTGTGTCTGTGATCTCTTCAGTGGCTCGGGCAGCACTTGTTAGTAGAGGTTGCAGTGAAGCTTTTGTGGGGACAGGGACACCAAGTGGGCTGGTCTTCGGGCACAGTGGTGGCACCAGTGGTTTGGGTATGCCAAACTTTGGGCCTCCAGATAGTCTGCTTATGTGCTGGCAGTGGTGGCAGTGGGCTGGGAGGGCAGGCTGGTCCTTGGGCTCCTGGGTGGTGTGTGGCATCATTCATGGCAATAGTAGTGGCAAGCCACATCTCTGGTTCCTAGTCAGCATATGCAGGCACCAGTGGTGGTGGTGGCAGGGTAAGCAAGCCAGTGCTCAGGCCTCCAGGTGATGCATATGGGTAGATGGCCAGCAGTGGTGATGGCAGCCGGCTGAGTGGGCCCATCCTCAGTCCTCTGGGAGTTGTGTGTGAGCCCTGGTGGTAGCAGACAGGGAGGGTCGTTCCCCAGTCCCACAGTCAAAGTATGTGGGCACCGGCAGGCTGAGCAGGCCCATCGTCAGGGCCCTGGAAGGTGCTCATAGCCATTAATAGCAGCATGTGGGGCAGATCAATCCCCAGGTCTCCAGATGAAGCATGCAGGCACTGTCAGTGGTAGCATCAGGTGGGGCAGTCCTGTCCTCAGGTCCCCAATAGTGTGTGTGGGTGCAGGCTGTGGCGGCTGGGACACATTGGTCCCCAGGTCCCCATATAGCATGCTTGGGTGCCAGCAGAGGTGGTGGGGGGTGTAACTGACCTATCCTCAAGCCCCAGATGGTATGCACAGGCATCAAGGACAGGGCAGACCTGTTGACAGGCCCTGCAATCATACACAGTTGCCAGTGGCAACAGGTATGGTAGGTTGACCCCCAGGCTCCCAGTTGATGGTATATCCACGCACTGGTGGGAACAGCAGCAGGAAGGCAGACCTGTCCTCAGGCCCCCTGATGTGCATGGGCACCAGCTGTAACGGGTAAGGCTGTTTGATCCCCAGGCCCTGGATGGTGTATATATATATTTCCAGGCACTATGAAAGTAAGAAAGGAGTAAGTGTTTATTTCAAAGTGTCAGGATATCATAATCTTCACATATCCATCAATTTAATTCATGCTATCTAAAGCTTAAAAGAGATGTGTGTGATTATGTCCATAGTGAATCCAAATCACTTGATCAAACTTAGAAGCTGTTTGTACTAAAGCTCATTGTATGTCTCCTAATGCTATACCTAATGTTAAATGATGAGTTAATGGGTGCAGCACACCAACATGGCACATGTATACATATGTAACTAACCTGCACGTTGTGCGCTTGTACCCTAAAACTTAAAGTATAAAAAAAAGATAAAGCTCATTGTAAATATTTTTTTAAAAATCAGCTAAATTAAACATGATAAAGACAGCTACCATAAATTTGATTAAGTAACTTACCAAACATGTTATAATAATCAGGCAGTCAATGAAAATGCTCTGTAGTACTGGTATTATCCATTGGGTAGCTTTAACCCACAGAAGATCTTTTCTGCAATTTTTTTTTGGGTTCCGCTTCTCTGTGTTTATGATTTATATATTGATGTCCTCACTGTCGTGTTCATGGCTCTGAGCTTTCACTCATGATTTCCATTTTATTAATAGGTTTTCTCTGTTTTTACTCTTCTTTTTTAGCTTTTAATTAAATTTTAAAATTCTTATATTCTCAAGTTATGTTTAAACCTGATTGAAACACTTTATTGTGTCCTAGTTATGTTTCCTGAAAATTTTTCTTTTTATTTATTTATTTTATTTTATTTTATTTTGTTTTTTTGAGACGGAGTCTCGCCGTGTTGCTCAGGCTGGAGTGCAGTGCGGGATCTCGCCTCATGCAACCCCTGCCTCCTGGGCTCAAGCGATTCTCCTGCCTCAGCCTCCTTAGTGGCTGTGATTACATGCGCGCCCCACTACACCCAGCTAATTTTTTGTATTTTTAGTAGAGACGGGTTTTCACCACGTTGGCCAGGCTGGTCTCAAATTCCTGATCTCAGGTGATCCGCCTGCCTCGGCCTCCCAAAGTGCTGGCATAAGCCACCATGCCCAGCCCTGAAGAATTTTCTTTAGATTAAAAAAAAAATTTTTTTTCCCCTTTGGAAGAACTGACTCTTCCTGACTTTTCCCCAACAGTGATGGAAGGCCGGGGCCACCAACTTTTCTCTCCTGGTGGGGGCATGAGCTGTACAGGAGTCTTTTGCCCTCACACACAAACTGTGCCCATAGATGCCATCGCCTGAGAATTGTTCTATAATGATAAGCCTGGGCTAAGAGGGAGCATCGTTCACTCTAACAGTTCCTCTTCTTGCCTTGTGGGATGTTTCTTTGTTTTTACATATGCCTCTTAGCAACCGGATGATGCTGCACTATTTGCCATCCTCCTTCTTTGCCTCTCCAACACAGCATACATTTCTCAAAAAATAGAGGAGAGATAAACAAATAAATAACTTTAATGGTGTCCTTATGACACAAAAGGTTTGATGTTATTTAACTTATTTTAGATGCAGTATTAATTGGACTCCGAAATTTTTCAGTCAATCTATGTAACATCAGCCCTTGATATCCACAGCTTCTGCATTTTTGGGTTCAATCATCGGCTGAAAATATTCAAAAATAAAAACAAAAAATAACACAATATTTAAAAACAAATTTAAAAAGTAATGCAGTGTAACAACTATATACTCAGCATTTACATTGTATTAGGTATTCTACATGATCTGGAGATGATTTAGAGTACACAGGAGGATGTGCTTAGGTTATATGCAAATACTACACCATGTTATATCAGGGACTTGAGCATCTGCAGATTTTGCTGTCTGCAGGGGGTTTCTGGAACCAGTCCCTCCTGGATACTGAGGGATGATCATATGTATAAAGCACACATGTCTACGCCCATCGATATATATTTTACATAAGTAGGATGGCTGGTTGAGTTTTTAATTCTTCCATTGGTTATCACTTGTACTGGCATGTTAAAAGAAAAAACTCAGTGTAACATTTATTTTCCAGTTTTATTCATCTTAGTTTTCCGGTATATGGTTTATAGGTAAATTTACAAATTACATTTTATTTTCTTCTTTTCCTAATGAGGAAATAAAGTAAATATATAGAATGTGAGAAAGTATTAAATTGTGTTAAGCACTTGCCTTTGCCCAGTTTATCTTGAGTGGAATGTTTATGATGGCTTGTGCTGCCTGCAATAAAGAAGACACGAATAAAAAGAAGCTTTAAATTCTACTTGCTAAAGAAACAAGGACTTTTGAACGAAAAAAGTTTAGATTCCAAGTCTAAAGTCATTTAAAATGTTTTAAAGCTAGGCTGTTTTTTTATTGCTCAATATTTCTTTTTGCTCATAGCCAACAAACCAGTTATATTATCATTTTGTGAAGTATTGCTATCAAAAGGTATGTTTCTCTTGCACTTTCCCTGCCTAGACTGGACACTGTGAAGTTGCTGTGGCTGCATTTCTCAGGTCTGGCTGTTCCGCTCTCACTTGGTCCAGGGAGTGGGGGGGATTTTCCAAATAAACAGCACAATGGATTCAACAGCAGCAGTAAATGTTAGGAGGAATATGTAGGTGACAGAAGCTCTCGTCGCACCTGACTTCTCAATGAAACCAGTGATGAACCCTTCCAGTACAAAAACTAAGTGAACTACACCTCCAGCTGTTGAGCCCTCCTAGTTCTCACCCCACTCCAGCTCTTCCCCTCTCTCAGTTGTCCCAATTGTAACTCAAAAGATGGAATATCAAAGTCTTAAAAAAAAAAAAAAAAAGGACACTGCAGACTAACCAAAGAGCAGGGAGAGAACAGAGTGAATTACTTAATTCCCAAGAATAGTGATGTTGGGGAGGGAAGACCTAAATTGGGGATTAGCTCAAGAGGGTTTTTAGCTTCACCTAGGAAAGAATTCAAGAACAAGCTGACAGTAGAGGAAAACCACTTTATTGAAGCAGCAGTGTTATAGCTCCGGTGGTGTTACAGCTCTGTGACTGCTTCTGCAGAGCAGGGCTACCCTGCAGGCAGAGAGTAGCAGCTCAGGGCAGTTCTACAGTCATGTTTATACCTACTTGTAATTACATGCAGATTAAGGGGCAGTTTATGCAGAGATTTCTAGGAAAAGAGTAGTAACTTCTGGGTCATTGGGTCATTGCCATGGAAAGGGCTGGTAACTCCTGGATGTTGCCATGGCAATGGTAAACTGACATGACACACTGGTGGATGTATCTTATGGAGAGCTTAGGCACCGGACATAATTGAGGACTAGCTAAAACAGGGACAGGATCAAGGAAGGCCTCCAGGGTTGAAGATAGATACACTGAGGCCGAAAGACATCTAGGGCTTTGAAAGGCAAAATGAGTGGACAAAGCAGAGGAAGAAGACAGATCCTGCTGAGCTCAAACCACAAGCAAGGGGCCAGAGTGAAGGGGGGAAGTCCAGCCCCTCCTCAAAGGGTCTCCATGGCAGGCCAAGGGAGAGGTGGGCAGGTGAGGTGGGAGGCAGTGAGGCAAGGAGGTTAGAAAGTCTACAAGGCCTTGCTCGGCCAGTGTGCTTGGCCTGGAAGATAATTAACCCAGACAGTGAAATGATTACATAGCTCGTCTACATTGTTTGCCATTGTTAATTAGAATAAGTGTTTTGCACATTTAGAAATAAATGTAAAATAATACTGTCTTCTAGAGACTCCCTAGAAAATGTTAGGAATATAGTAACTCATCTAGGGATGGTGAGTCATAAGGAATTTTCAAAATTGTGACCTGTCTCCTCAGTTTCTCGTAAATAATTACCAGCTAACACATGTTCGTTTATATGTCCTCTCCTGGAGGTCAAATCATGGAGTCGAACACTCGGTGGTGGGAGATTACAAAAGGAAATATTCCATGTTAACAACCAGATATTTTAACATCTTATTTATCTGAGCACAAAAGCTGGAAAGCTTGGCCTAAACATGCAACTAGCAAATGTTTTGGGTGCCGTTATGTTCTTGAAGCTGACATATTATGAGAGCATGTGAAACCTTTAGCTTCTAAAGGAGAGAAAGAACAGCTAGAATAATAAATGTTCTTTTATTGTCGGGCTAGGCTACAAAATTGAAAGGGAAGAGATATGCTCGATTTATAAACTGAGCAGATGACATCGCATAAGTCACTGCGATTATGTTGAGGTGAGACAAGTTACAATCTCCAAACGTTTGTTGGAATTGGGAGAGAAATGCAGGGGAAGCTGGTACCACACCAGAGCCACTAGTCCAAAACCTAAGGAAAGAAAAAAACATGGTTGCTGTGTTGTGTGTAATCCCGATCCAGTTTCCCCTGAGATGGCCATTCCTGCCCAGGAATGAGTCAGAGGTCAGGGAGGGCTGCTTCATCTGGCCAGCAGGGTCCTCCTGCTCACTCTCAGGGAGGCTGTGCAGCGTGGAACTTTGACAACTGTCCCATAGTTCTAAAGCGTTTGGAGTCAGGGACCCTTCATGAAATGCTAACAGCAAGATCATATGCACAAGTAAAGAAATAGCAACAAACATAGTGGAAGCATTTGCTCTGAAAAATTCCCCAGTGATAGATTATCTAGGGGACAACGCCTAAGGTCAAAGCTTTCTCCAAGATAATAAAGATAATAAAGGAAAATCCTTGTTTTGCAGTCTGACAGATAATATGGAAATCAGTCTTGGAAGTGCCTATGGGCACTGCTAAATTAAAGAATGAAAAACACAGCCAGGGATTAGGGTGGCTCACACCTGTAGTCCCAGCACTTTGAGAGGCAGGTGGATCACCTGAGGTCAGGAGTTCGAGACCATCCTGGCCAACATGGCAAAACCCCATCTCTACTAAAAATACAAAAATTAACCCAGCATGGTAGCACACGCCTGTAATCCCAGCTACTCGGGAGGCTGAGGCAGGAGAATTGCTTGAACCCACGGGACGGAGGTTGCGGTGAGCCAAGGTCACGCCTCTGCACTCCAGTCTGGGCAACAGAATGAGACTCCATCTCAAAATAAATAAATAAATAAAAATTAATAAGTAACTGGGGAAACATCAGGCATAGCTGGATCCAGGGTACAAGTGATCTCTTTCTTGGAGACTGTCTTTCTCTCATCACTTTTTCCTTCTGAGCACCGGCTTGGTTCTCAGACAGGTATCTCATTGTGGTCACATGTATGAGCCTGTTTTACTCTGACCGCTGAGGCCAGAGCTGCCTGTTCACCCCTGGGCTGGGGAGGGGAAAAGGAGGTACAGCCATCTGAGCTTATTGGAGCAAGTACCTTGAGCTGGGAAAGAGAATATTAGTTTTCCTAGTTTTCACGCATTTTATAAGGGTCAGTAATGACTGCAAACCTTTTATTTTATTTTTTTTTTTTTTATTATACTCTAAGTTTTAGGGTACATGTGCACATTGTGCAGGTTAGTTACATATGTATACATGTGCCGTGCTGGTGCGCTGCACCCACTAATGTGTCATCTAGCATTAGGTATATCTCCCAATGCTATCCCTCCCCCCTCCCCCGACCCCACCACAGTCCCCAGAGTGTGATATTCCCCTTCCTGTGTCCATGTGATCTCATTGTTCAATTCCCACCTATGAGTGAGAATATGCGGTGTTTGGTTTTTTGTTCTTGCGATAGTTTACTGAGAATGATGGTTTCCAATTTCATCCATGTCCCTACAAAGGATATGAACTCATCATTTTTTATGGCTGCATAGTATTCCATGGTGTATATGTGCCACATTTTCTTAATCCAGTCTATCATTGTTGGACATTTGGGTTGGTTCCAAGTCTTTGCTATTGTGAATAGTGCCGCAATAAACATACGTGTGCATGTGTCTTTATAGCAGCATGATTTATACTCATTTGGGTATATACCCAGTAATGGGATGGCTGGGTCAAATGGTATTTCTAGTTCTAGATCCCTGAGGAATCGCCACACTGACTTCCACAATGGTTGAACTAGTTTACAGTCCCACCAACAGTGTAAAAGTGTTCCTATTTCTCCGCATCCTCTCCAGCACCTGTTGTTTCCTGACTTTTTAATGATTGCCATTCTAACTGGTGTGAGATGATATCTCATAGTGGTTTTGATTTGCATTTCTCTGATGGCCAGTGATGATGAGCATTTCTTCATGTGTTTTTTGGCTGCATAAATGTCTTCTTTTGAGAAGTGTCTGTTCATGTCCTTCGCCCACTTTTTGATGGGGTTGTTTGTTTTTTTCTTGTAAATTTGTTTGAGTTCATTATAGATTCTGGATATTAGCCCTTTGTCAGATGAGTAGGTTGCGAAAATTTTCTCCCATGTTGTAGGTTGCCTGTTCACTCTGATGGTAGTTTCTTTTGCTGTGCAGAAGCTCTTTAGTTTAATTAGATCCCATTTGTCAATTTTGTCTTTTGTTGCCATTGCTTTTGGTGTTTTGGACATGAAGTCCTTGCCCACGCCTATGTCCTGAATAGTAATGCCTAGGTTTTCTTCTAGGGTTTTTATGGTTTTAGGTTTAACGTTTAAATCTTTAATCCATCTTGAATTGATTTTTGTATAAGGTGTAAGGAAGGGATCCAGTTTCAGCTTTCTACATATGGCTAGCCAGTTTTCCCAGCACCATTTATTAAATAGGGAATCCTTTCCCCATTGCTTGTTTTTCTCAGGTTTGTCAAAGATCAGATAGTTGTAGATATGCGGCATTATTTCTGAGGGCTCTGTTCTGTTCCATTGATCTATATCTCTGTTTTGGTACCAGTACCATGCTGTTTTGGTTACTGTAGCCTTGTAGTATAGTTTGAAGTCAGGTAGTGTGATGCCTCCAGCTTTGTTCTTTTGGCTTAGGATTGACTTGGCAATGCGGGCTCTTTTTTGGTTCCATATGAACTTTAAAGTAGTTTTTTCCAATTCTGTGAAGAAAGTCATTGGTAGCTTGATGGGGATGGCATTGAATCTGTAAATTACCTTGGGCAGTATGGCCATTTTCACGATATTGATTCTTCCTACCCATGAGCATGGAATGTTCTTCCATTTGTTTGTCTCCTCTTTTATTTCCTTGAGCAGTGGGCAAACCTTTTATTTTACTTTTCAGGAATCACTTTTAACATCTTCTTTAACAATCTCCCTTTTGCTCTTAAAGTTATAAACATCAAATTATGGCTGAGTGGCATTACACCTGGAATAAACTTCAAGGCACACTGAAGAACTTACAATCAGGCAGAGAAGGGGCGGATGTGGGTTGTTATATTAGCCAACTTTTGTTTTAAGTTAGACTTCTTGAAGACATGTACCATAAACTGACAGCCTCCTTCTCAGCAAAGTTGTGACATGGTTTTGCTTTGTGTGGAGTATATTGATTTTCTTTCTCCTGATAAACTTTGCACATCATCTAGAGGCTTTATTGACATCTTGAGAGAAAACAAACTTGTAATTGAACATGGTGATAGACTCATTAACTTTTTAGGTCTGATCTGTTTGACTAGGTGTAACTTAATTGTAAAACTGGCATTGTTAATTTAACAAAGTGTACATTTATTATATAGTCCTCCAGTTTGCATAGTTACTTTGTATCAGAACTGATAAATTCAGTTACTGGGTTTATGTAATACCCAGTAAGTCGAACACTTCAGTATGAAGGCTAAGACACAATAAAGAAGTCACAAGATAAACAGGCTTTGCCATGGCTATTTTAAAGGCTTTTTTTATGTATTAGGTAGAGAATGTTGTGGTTATGCTTTATCTGGCATTTTTTGGTTTGTTTTTGTGGAGTTTCTGTTTGTTTTTAAAGACAGGGTCTTGCTATGTTGCCCTTGCTGGTCTCAAATTCCTGGGCTCAAGCGATCCTCCTGCCTCAGCCTCCCAAATAGCTGGGACAATGGGTGTGTTCCACCCTACCCAGCTGACATGTTTTAACTTAAAGAAAATTAAAACTTTATTATTAAGATTAATAATGAAACCTCTGCATGGATAGGAAGACTTAAAACTAGTAGTTGTGTCTTAGAAAAGAATCTGTATCTCACTAACGAGGAACTATTCTAGCCTGGACAGTTTCTGAGGAGAGAGTAACTGGGGAATATCTGTTGCTGTTAGCTACAAACAGGATTTTAGGTTTGTGAGAGGCATTTAGATTGATTTGAAGTGACAGGCTGTCTGTCTTAACTTGGTAACTGTGAGAATCTTTCTGATATAGATGTAAGATACTTATTACGAGTTCATCTCATAAGCAGTAACCACAGCCCTGTATCCTGTTAATATCATCGGAAAATTTGGATGGATAGTCTTTTGACGAGTATAGTTGAGTTTAATCTCAATATACAATGTATATTTGTGTGAGTATTTCTGTATCTTCAATACATATTTCACAACAATATCTGAATGTGTATTTTTGTTTTTAGTGGAGGCTGATTAGAATGTGTCACCACTAACAAAGGGTGACACTTGGAGAATTTTGATCTCACACAGGGTCCACCTCGTGGTGGTGCAGCAGTCATCTGCTGGTGGCTTTCAGACCCAAGCCACCTTTTCCCCCTCTCTGCTCTGTAAGTTGGGGCTGTTTCTGGAGATGGGAGGGCCAAGAGAAGGCAGAAGCCAGGGGCATTTCTCCCTCTCTCTCTAGGGGACATCTCTGGCAGTGGCTTCATCCCATTCATTGTCAGACTCCCAACCAGATAGCCCAGCTGCAGAGCTGTGGTGACTCCAATACCTTCTCCCATTGTCCTCTAGCCCCAGATGGCAGCTGTGCAATAATGACGCTAATCTCAAGTGGCTTCCTTTCTCTGTTTAGTTCTTCTGTGCTTCCACTCCTCTATAACTAATCTCATTCAATTCCGTCAGTTGAACTACCTGGTGTGGGCCCTGTTTTCCTAACTATACCCTGAGCCATGCAAATAGCTATGCAGTTACGTGTTAAGTACAAACCCTATACCCTTTGCAACCTTGTTAGTGGAAAGTGTGTGTCCCCATTACTTTATCAAGAGAAGGATAGTTTTTTTTTCTTTTGGGAAATATTAACTAAGAAGGATTTGGAGACAAGAATGGAATTTAACTCTTTGTGAAGATAGATACAATATTTCGTTTGGAAAACATAATTGTTAAACAATATCTATAAACATAAAATTTAGGATGTTCAATAAAAGCTATTGGAAGGATCATGGGTAACTAAGTCAGGTCTTACTGCTAATGATTTTTTCAGATTTGACCATATTAGGACTGTGATAAGCAGGGCTTTCAAGCCAGTTGTCATCTACCTTTATAGTAATTTGAAATCTATCAAATTGTATTTGGGTTTGGCTAATTCGCTTCTGATCGTAAATGTGTTTATACAGTTGGATTCTTGGTGTCAATCTAATTTTCAGATTTTGCTGGGCTATTTATTCCATTCTTCTTGCTCTAGTTTTCCTCTTTGTGAGTGGCACTGCTTATGAGTCATGGGTGAAGGGACATAAGTGAGCAGGAGTGGCTTCCAGGAATACCACAGTCCAGTTGACATCTTCCTGCTCTTCTCCCCTGGTCCCCCTTTGATTTGTATGGGTCTGATGTGATTTGGAGGGTCAGGCTTCGACAGTGAGGAGGAGAGGGCAAGTGAGTTATGATGAAAGAGAAGAATGGAAGGAAGGGATCACAGCCTTGTCCAGAGAAATGGTAAAAGCATGAGTAGCCTTTCTAAGAACTTGAGGAATACAACTTTGTTGGGTTTTCCATTTAATACTAATGAAGTGGAAAACGGTCCGGGCGCAGTGGCTCTTGCCTGTTTTCCCAGCACTTTGAAAGGCTGAGGTGGGTGGATCACTTGAGGTCAGGAACTCGAGACCAGCCTGGCCAACATGGTAAAACTTCATCTCTACTAAAAATACAAAAAATTAGCCAGGCATGGTGGCACACACCTATGATCCCAGCTATTCAGGAGGCTGAGACATGAGATTTGCTTGAAACTGGGAGGCGTAGGTTGCAGTAAGCCAAGATCGTGCCACTGCATTCCAGCCTGGGTTACAGGGGGAGACCGTGTCTCAAAAAAATAAATAAAGTTGAAAACGCTTATGGCATTTAACAGTGTCACAATATAAAGCCAAGCACATTTTCTAAAGCCTTATTTTTTTCAAGTATAAAATCATTTAGGCTATCATTTGGAAAAACAAAAACAAAAAACTGGCCATTTGCTGTTATAGATTTTAGCTCTCTTCGCTAATTAAGGTTTCCCAGAAGTGACTATTGGTATACAAATGATGTGAGTAAGCCCCTGGGAATTATAGCTCCTGGTTAGGTGGGGGAATCTTTCTGTAGCTGATTTATCTGTGAACTACCATTTGTAAGAGGTGGGGTGGGCCGCTCTGAGACTCAGTTTACCCGCCGTAAAGGATTCTGTTCCAGCCACACTAGAATTGACAGCTGGGCTTCCTGATGAAGAGGACACTGCCCGGCTGCTCCCCCAGAATACTCTGCTTCCCTAGTGACCGAGAAGCAACTTCCCCGGCCAACCCCTGCACACGCTAGAACTCAAACAATGCCACCTTGAGCAGCCTTGCCTCAGGCATAACCACTGTCGCTCAGCACAGCTGGAGATGTTTCTTGGCCACTTGGCTTGGGCCCTGCTATGCCCCAGTGACCTCACAGTGGTGCAGTGGTGCCAGCCTTCTGACCAGCCTTCTTGGACTCCAGCTAGAAAGCTTTCCTGTCTTTGACTTTTTTAATTTTTTAAACTGAGTAATTAAGAGAAACAAAACAGAATTCAGAGGCAGTTAATCCCAAAGAATCATGCCACTGTCTGTGAGATGACACCCATGTGTGAACAAGCCATCTCAGACACCCAAGGTGGAATTTTCGAAAAAGGCCCTTCTCACTTCTATTGTGTGTTCCTTTATTGTCTGCTGGTTTTGAATACAGATTGGAAGTGTCAGAAAAGACTTCAACAATCCAGCCCACTGATTGTACAGGAGCAGAAATGACCAGATCGGCCGGGCACAGTGGCTCACACCTGTAATCCCAGCACTTTGGGAGGCCGAGGCCGGTGGATCACCTGAGGTCTGGAGTTTGACATCAGCTGATTAACATGGTGAAACCCCATCTCTACTAAAAATATAAAAAATTGGTTGGGCATGGTGGCACATGCCTGTAATCCCAGCTATTCGGGAGGCTGAGGCAGGAGAATTACTTGAACCTGGGAGGCAGAGGTTGCAGTGAGCCAAGATCGCACCATTGCACTACAACTTGGGCAAAAAGAGCAAAACTCCCATCTCAAAAAAATAAAATAAAATAAAATAAAATAAAATACAATAAAATAAAATACAATAAAATAACTGCAAATTAGCCTGCAAGAAAAGGTGTTATTATTGAGAAGCAATTCTCCATGGGTCTGTCATTTGTCCGCTCATCTCTGAGGGAGACACCAACTTGTTCTGACCCATCTTTTCAAGGAAGTTTTAGAGCAAATGACCTTGAAAGTAGAGAAGATAGGGCCGGGCGTGGTGGCTCACACCTGTACAATCCCAACACTTTGGGAGGCCAAGGTGGGCAGATCACGAGGTCAGGAGATTGAGACCATCCTGGCTAACATGGTGAAACCCCGTCTCTACTAAAAATACAAAAAAGTAGCCGGGCGTGGTGGCGGGCGCCTTGTGGTCCCAGCTACTTGGGAGGCTGAGGCAGGAGAATGGCGTGAACCCGGGAGGTGGAGCTTGCAATGAGCCAAGATCGTGCCACTGCGCTCCAGCCTGGGCGACAGAAAAGACTCTGTCTTAAAAAAAAAAAAAAAAAAAAAAACCAAAAAAACAGAAAGTAGAGAAGATAATGTTTCTCTCCAGATCAAAAGGCAGATTTGCTTATTATGCAGTATAATAAAGACAATGTTTCCCTTCAGGATGAAAAGATGACTTGCTTAGAACTACTTAAAGAAGATTTGAGTTTCCTAAGTTCAGAGTTCTCATTTGTGATGCAAAACCACTGCACCTGTAGAATCTGACTTAGCCTATCTACTTCAACCCTGAGAGAGACGTGTGGAGGGGAACTGGTGTAATATGATGCTCATGCTTCTTTCTCCCTGTGCTCTGAGTTCTGCAGTCCTTTGTCTCTGATCCAGGAGTCTCTTGTCTTCTGTCAGCTTTTATGATACTGCAGCAAACTAACTTGCTAACTTGCAAGCTGGGTAAAATCCCACATTCTTCACAGTTCTTGCCAGTTATTCTAGTACTACAACAAAAACATTCTTTCATAAAAATTGGTGGAGAAAGCACTGAAATTTACTGTTGAGGCATACATATTTAATATAGGGTTGGCAATGTGAGTTTTAGTTTTATCAACACTATATGTGTTACTAGAATTTTTCAACTATCTGTAATTTCTTAAACCATTATCTATAAACACCTACCCCCAATAAAAAGGCTTTTATCTGGCTGAATTTTATCTGGTGTTAGAACAATTTGTGATTTGTTAGCTGAATGTCCACTGCAGCTTTCTGTAAGCTAAGAAAAAACGTAAGTGCTTTCTATCTATTTATCTGTATATGAAATACTTTTTCAATAGTCCTGCCAACTCAGCTGTTTTGGAGGAATTACTTTATGTTTTGAAAGAGGATTTTTTTCATGTCTGCAAAAACCAGTCGTAGCTAGCTCAGCGTATTTCATAAGGGTCAGTCATGTCCTTCAGACTTTTCGTTTTGGTGTTCAGACATTGTTTTAAATCTCTTTCTCAATACCCTTGAGCTGGCCATTGAAGGATTTGTCACATTTCAAAAGATTGAGTAAAAGGAATGGGATCCTATGTTCAGGAAAACAAAACATAACCAAACAAAAACATCAGCCAGCATGATTTCCATGCTGCTGTGGGGAAGGTCCTGGACTCATGGGCAGGACTCCACAGGCATGCCTGAGCCTGGGCCCATCACACACACTGGACATCCTGTCCACTCCAGCAAGACTCCACACACATGCCTCCATGGGCTGAGGACTGCAGGTGTGAGGACCGGCTGATATTCCACTGCCCCAGATAGGATAGGTTTAGTTAACTAAATTATACCACCTGGGATTGGTGAGACTTGTAGTGAAGAATAGCCTGGGTTCCAAATCCCTGGCTTTGGGATACTCTCATCAAAATGGCACACTCAGCCAGGCACAGTGGCTCACACCTGTAATCCCAGCACTTTGGGAGGCCGAGGCAGGTGGATCACTTGAGGTCAGGAGTTCAAGACTAGCCTGGCCAACACGGTGAAACCCCATCTCTACAAAAATACAAAAATTAGCCTGGCATGATGGCGGGTGCCTGTAATCCCAGCTACTCGGGAAGCCAAGGAGGGAGAATCACTTGAACCTGGGAGGCGGAGGTTGCAGTGAGCCAAGACTGCACTAATGCATTCCAGCCTAGGCGATAGAGTGAGACTCTGTCTCAAAAAAAAAGTAAAATGGCACACTCCAGATTTTTGAGAGTCACATATTTTACGTAAGATGTAGCATTATTTTCAGACACGGTAAGCGACCTGCCACAGCAGCGGTCTTGCGAGAGAGTAACTAGAGTTTACTCACTTTGCCTCTGACATTGGTGGAGCTCAGGTTTCCCAAGTGTGGGCCCCTGAGCGGTAGGAACAACATCACCTGGCAAGTTGTTAGAAATGCGAATCTTGATGCCATCCCAGAAATCACAAAAATCCCAGGGTGGGTTCAGCGATCTCTGGTTTAGCAAGTCCGTGCCCCCTCCCACCCGAGTGATTCTGATGCACACTACAGCTTCAGACCAAGGGCTGTTGCTCATGGTGTCACATGTCAGAGGAGGATGAGGTTAGTAAATTATAAACAGGAAAAGAAGAAATCAAATGTTGCTGTCAAACGTATAAGGGGATAACATATAGCATTTATTAAATAAATGATAAATAACATTGATTAAATAGCGTTGATTAATCTATTGTTTTTCACTTAAGAAGTATATGTCAGGCTGGGCATATTACAGGCTCACACCTGTAATCCCAGCACTTTGGGAGGCCAAGGCAGGCAGATCACGAGGTCAGGAGATCAGGACCATCCTGACTAAAATGGTGAAACCCCGTCTCTACTAATACGAAAAATTGGCCAGGCGTGGTGGCGGGCACCTGTAGTCCCAGCTACTCGGGAGGCTGAGGCAGGAGAATGGCGTGAGCCCAGGAGGCAGAGTTTGCAGTGAGCTGAGATCGCGCCACTGCACTCCAGCCTGGAAGGCAGAGACTCCGTCTCAAAAAAAAAAAAAAAAAAAAAAGAAGTATATGTCATGCCTATCCTAATGTCAGTCACTGTTAGAATACAAATATGAATAAAGCATTCTACAAATGTCTCATCATGGCCTGCAGGGAAAAATCCAACTTGCCACATATTTTGTAAATAAGGTTTTGTTAGGACACAGCCACACCCATTCATTTGCATACTGCTTATGGCTGTTTTTAGCTACAAGGCCAAGTTGAGAAGTGTGACAAAGACCATATACCCTACAAAACCAAAAGCACTTAATGCGTAATATCTGGCACTTTACATCAAAGTTTGTCAATACCAGATCAAGTGTTTTAAGGGAAAATCCTTCCCACATTTCAGGTAGTTAAACGCAAGTGGAATTAGGAGTATGTGTGGTATGCAGGGGTTATTCTGTCATCCAGTAAAATATATGTATTTTTTTTTTCAGTAGCAAAAAATTTAGCTTCACAGATGTTAGTATCATGGAAGGCATGCAGACTGTGGGACAAGAAGTAAAGCAATTGCTGGCCAAACGCCTTGGTGTGTGAGTGAACAGAAGGAGAGTGAGAACAAATACAGAAGTTAGAACAGAAAAAAGTGAAGAAAAAACGTGGTTGAGAAGGGAGAATATTATCAATCAAAAGAACGTGACCTATGTGAAAAGCTAAAATGAGGGAGTATGTGGCAGGACCTGGCTGGGGAAAGGAACTAAGAAGCAGCAAGATACTGGATTGGAGCATTCCAGTTGCCTGGCACAGAGGGTGGGCGGCAGAGTCTTCGCAGGAATGCTGGGGTGTTGATGCCAGGCAGAAAAGGGGCAGACTCCAGATGGGGCTGGGAGAGCCATGCTCTGCTAAACTCTCGGCTGGAATTTAGTGGGGTGATCTCAGCTCATTGCAACCTCAAGTGATTCTCCTGCCTCAGCCGGGCTCAAGCGATTTCCTGCCTCAGCCTCTCGAGTAGCTAGGATTACAGTCATGTGCCGTCATGCCCGGCTAATTTTTGTATTTTTAGTAGAGATGGGGTTTCGCCACATTGGCCAGGCTGGTCTCGAACTCCTGACCCCAGGTGATCCGCCCGCCTCAACCTCCCAAAGTGCTGGGATTACAGGCGCGAGCCAACGCGCCGGGCCTCTGCTGCACTTCTGTGTCTACCAGGAGTCCATGTGTACTTGTGTGGCTATTTACAGTAGGGCTCTCTCAATTCCTGACTCCGCTAAATGACTAACCATGTAGTGATACTGGAGAAAAAGCACTGGATTTCCCTGCGGGGAGCTTGGGTTACTTCTTGGCTTCACCTCTTACTGTTTGACCCGTGGGCACCTCATTTCATGGCTTCACGTCTCCCTTTCCTCATTAGTGAGAGGCTTCCTCCCACCTCCACATCGTGTGATTCTTCTAGACTCACTTATTATCATCGAGGGGCATGGCTTAAAGAAGGTCACAGCGTATTTCTCCAGCTCCCTCGCTTAAAGAGCAAAAGAATAGCAGAGACTCAGGGCCCTTCTAAAACAGAATTGTTGACCACTTTGGCACAAGGTCATCCGTTCCTGGGAAAGGTTTGATGCTGATTTATTTCCATCTCACACCTCGTAACAGATTTCTTCTCTTGTCCAAAGAGATTGTTTACTGTGGAAACATTTAGAGGAAAAATGAGCAGCCGGGATCCATGTGTGTGATCATATTTATCTTTCTTTCAGGAATTTTTCTTTAAATGTGGAGCACACCCCACCTCTGACAAGGAAACATCAGTAGCTTTGCACCTGATCGCAACAAATAGTCGGAACATCACTTGCATTACGTGCACAGACGTCAGGTAAGGATCTAAAAATAGTGTCACTTCCCTCCACGGACGTGAGGTAAGGATCTAAAAATAGCATCACTCCCCCCTCCTTACTTTCCCAATATTGTTCTGCCACACGAGCCTTCCTCAGTGAACTCTCTTTCCTGGGGAGTGTCTGCTTTATTTTGATGCGTCTGCCCAATTTGGGTATATTTTAATGTGAGGAAACAATTTAAAATGCCAGTGACTTAGTTTAAGTAGGTAAATAGGGTCCTAAGATGGGAGATGGCATATCTAAAATAGTGTATGTAATCTTAGTTGATATTAAAATATAAGCTCACATATTTGAGTATAAAATGTAAACTCATCCATTAAGTTCCAAAATAAAATTAAAATATGGTGCTAACATTTAAAATGTTAACATTAGGCATGTGCCACCACACCCAGCTAATTTTTTGTATTTGTAGTAGAGACAGGGTTTCCCCATGTTGGCCAGGCTGGTCTTGAACTCCTGACCTCAGGTGATCTGCCCACCTCAGCCTCCCAAAGTGCTGGGATTACAGGCGTGAGCCACTGCACCCGGCCAGGAATGGAAAAAAAATTTATGAACACCACAACATGTAGCCCATACATTTTATTTTTAAAATGTCTTTTCCATACATTTCAGTTCTCCATATTTGCCTATATTTATGCTGAGGCTTCGCACACATTCATGCACTCAAAATGAAAGCAAGTAGCTAGTTTGGGACCTTGTTATTTCTAATCCCAGTGAACACAAGAAAAGCAAGCAAATGTGGAGATGGCCTGTTAGTAAAAAAAGGGAAAACGACTCAATACGAATTGCGGTGTAGGAGCCAAGGACAAAGTGGAAGAAACTGAGTCTGTTTGCTCTGCAGAGTAGGCAATTCAGAGTACAATTCCTTACTCTACACTTTCCGAATGGACAGAGAAAAGAAATTAGCTTCGTTACATGTTCTTTGAAGTTGGCTAAGAAGCTCAAATTGCAATAGTGAGAACTTAGCCCTCATATCAGGAAGAACTCTTTTTTTTTTTTTTTTTTGAGAAGGAGTTTCGCTCTTGTTGCTCAGGCTGGAGTGCAATGGCGGGATCTCGGCTCACTGCAACCTCCGCCTCCCAGGTTCAAGGGATTCTCCTGCCTCAGCCTCCCGAGTAGCTGGGATTACAGGCATGCGCCACCACACCAGGCTTATTTTGTATTTTTAGTAGAGACGGGGGTTTCTTCATATTGGTCAGGCTGGTCTCGAACTCCTGACCTCAGGTGATCCGCCCGCCTTAGCCCCACCAAGTGCTGGGATTACAGGCGTGAGCTGCCGCACCCAGCCCAGAAAGAACTTTTTAATGAAATGCCAAAATGAATTAATGAATAAAGTCAAAGAATCTATTGTTTCAGACTTTTAAGCAAAAATAGTCATATACCCTAATCATTTTAAGTGTTGTCTCTCTCTGGCTTTTGGAACTGTATTAGATGGTCTTTTAAAGTTGCTTTAAACTCTGTGATTTCGTGATAAGCAAATATTCACACTCCTATCAGGCTATTTCTATTCTCTAATAAATTAAAATTAAAATGTTGATTAATAGAAGCCCAAAAACCTTAACAGCATCTGTTGAACAAACCTGTTTCCAAGAAGGAATAAAAATGAGACGTGATTTTCTCTTTGCTGCATGTTTAGTCACTGCTGTGGCAGGAAGCACCACAACATTGCCTTTAAAATATAGCGCTTCAGCCTCTCTTGGCAAGGTGAATGACTGTGTATGGCTAACGCTTTCAACATGCAAGAAGAACAGCTAAGATGGGGATTCTGGTGTTTCGGGAAAGGGATTGAAAAGTGCTAAAAGCGAGGGCTTGACTGCGCTGATAGCAGCAGGTAATTTAAGTCACTGTTCAGTTTTTCAAAGGAAAAATTCAAAATACTCTTCTGTAAGTCAGAAAACAGCTCATCAGCCAGTATTTTAAACTTTCCATTAAGGTTGGTAAACATGACATTAAAATATGTGGTGATGATGGTATTATCTTACTAAGAGCGTTGCCCTCCCCGTTTCCTGCTGTTATGCTGTCACTTTCGTATTAATAACTGGCAACATCTTTCGAAGAGAATGAGCCACTTACTTCCCAGATACACAGGGTGATAATTGCTGGAAAAATAATATTGTCACATTAATTTTGTTCATATGATTGCCTTTGGGAGAATTTATAAATAGAAGCGACTATATCCAGATGCATCTTAAGGGTGTGTGTATATAACCAACCACTTGATTGAATAAGGTCCCTTCTCGTGTAAGGCAGCCAAGTGCCCCATATGTAAGAAAGAGAGAAGAACTCTTTCTTCTGACTTCGAGGGATCCACGTGTAAGGACATTATGAGCGCCTGCACGGACACTCCGTGCAGTTTGGTGATCATTGTGGGGTTTTTCCTGATAATGCTTTCTTTTTAAATTTAGAAATAATTCACAATAAACTATAAAAAGCATTAGAAGTGGCCAGACACGGTGGCTCACGCCTGTAATCCCACCACTTTGGGAGGCCGAGGCAGGTGGATCACCTGAGGTCAGAAGTTCGAGACCAGCCTGGCCAACATGGTGAAACCCTGTTTCTACTAAAAATAGAAAAATTAGCCAGGCGTAGTGGCACATGCCTGTAGTCCCAGCTACTCGGGAGGCTGAGGCAAAAGAATCACTCGAATCCGGGAGGTGGAGGTTGCAGTGAGCCAAGATTGTACCACTGCGCTCCAGCCAGGGTGACAATAGTGAAACTCCGTCTCAAGAAAAAAAAAAAGTGTTAGAAGTTATTTTTACCCTCATGCTTAGTAAAATTTCTGGTTAATTTTTTTGCAATATCTTGATTATGCCTATTTGCAGTGTGTGTGTGCTGTATAATTATATTGTGTGTGTATGTATATATATATATATATATATAGTTTCGTATCATGCTTTTTCCATTTAGCAGGACATTATGATAAATTTTCTCTGTGCCAGGCATGCACGTGGCAGCTCATGCCTGTAATCCCAGAACTTTGGGAGGCCAGGCAGGCAGATTGCTTGAGCTCAGGAGTTCAAGACCAGCCTGGGCAACATGGCAAGACCCTGTCCCTACAAAAAATATAAAAATTAGCCAGGCATGATGGCATGCACCTGTAGTCCCAG
Source organism: Homo sapiens (assembly GCF_000001405.40). Lineage (NCBI taxonomy): Eukaryota > Metazoa > Chordata > Mammalia > Primates > Hominidae > Homo > Homo sapiens. The sequence continues at coordinate 161,970,172 of NC_000006.12, read as the reverse complement.
CTACCTGGGAGGCTGAGGCAGGAGAACGGCTTGAGCCTGGGAGGTCAAGGCTGCATTGAGCTGTTTGTGCCACTGCACTCCAGCCTGGGTGACAAAGTGAGACCCTGTCTCAAAAAAATAAAAAATGAAAATCATAATAAATTTTCTCTGCCATGAAAACAGTTTTTTAAAAATAGGTACCTAAAATTCCGTTATGTGGGGATATGCTGTTGTAGGACTTTCTCCTTAGTTCAGCTAAAAACAGAGTCCTTGTCACACAACCATGAAAAATTAGGCCCGCAGACTCTTTGAAGGGTGAGAAAAATGGAATTTATTGGGCAAAAAGGAAAAGAAAAAGGGTAACAGGGACTCTCAGCAAAGCAAGATGAATATAGATGAAAATCTATAAGGCAAAATGAATATGGATTAAAATAATAGATGAAAATCAGAGTATAGTATTAATTTATCTGTAAATATAGTTTCTGTGAACTCCTTATCATACTGGAAAATAAAAGTAAAATATTAAGCCTCCAACTGACTGAACAGACTCCCTCCTGGTCAGGGGGACCGTGGAGACACCTTGGAAGCTGAGTTCCAGCCATGATGGGGTGAGAGGTCAGACAGGCCTGTTATGCCAACGCCCTCACTAACCACCTCTAGGTTTCCTTTCCTAAGGGCTAAACAGAAACCAGGCAGGTTTTCCCACCTCACCAGCTGAAATCCCAGGTACTACCCAGATCAGGAGAGGCCAGGCTCCTCCCCACCCCAAACAGCATGAACTTCCCAAGGCTCCATCCCTTTCTCCCAGTGCACAGGCTGGTCACTTTCTCCGGGTACCCCCTTGGGTACCTTGGCTGTCTCAGTTCTATTTAACCATTTCCCCACTTTTGAGCATTTACTCACAGTTAAAAAAAAAAAAAAAAAACAAATAAGACTGAAAACCATATTATTTTACAGACATCATTGACTGCATGCCTTGGCTCTAAGAATACGGTCATAACAGTGATTGCAGGTCCACGGTAATGGACATTTTTGAGGTTCTTGATCCATATTGTCACCTTCCTTTCCAGAAACACTGCTCTAGTTCTGATCTGGCTTCCCATGTTTGAGAGGGCTCCCTCCTGCCTCTCTTTCAGCATAATTTTTGTCTTTGCCTATTTGATAAAGGAGATTTTTTATTATTTTGTTATTTATGAATACAAGAATTTCTCACTGGCTTATTTGCATTTTTATTGTGAGAGAACAATGTGAAACTTTCTCCATATGAAAGCTATACAAAAAGTCTACAAAACAGATCTGGTTTCAGCAATTGCTTTCTCATTCACTATTCATAATATCACGGTGTCCTTTATAAATATACAGTTTACTGTCTTTTGAATTTATGTTTAAATATGTTGCTTTGGTCTTTATTTTAAAATATTATATTTTCCTGGAGATAAATCAAATTCATAATTACAGACTTAAAAATAAAAGGGTGTTTTAAATCTATTTTTTATTCTTATAATTGTTTTACTTATGTGTATATATATGTATTAATCATACATCATTAATCAAATTAGACATAATTAACCACATAATAGATGAAAATCGGAGGATAGTATTAATTTATCTGTAAATATAGTTTCTGCGTACTCCTTATACTGAGAAATAAAAATAAAATTGTAAGCCTCCAACTGACTGAACAGAATCCCTCCTTGTCAAGGGGACCGTGGAGACACCTTGGAAGCTGAGTTCCAGCCATGATGGGGTGGGAGGTCAGACAGGCCTGTCATGTCCCCACCCTCACTAACCACCTCTAGGCTTCCTTCCCTAAGGGCTAAACAGAAACCAGGCCTTCGAAAAGACTCTACACTGAGGCTGGGCATGGTGAGTCACGCCTGTAATCCCAGCACTTTGGGAGGCTGAGGTGTGCAGATCACTTGAGGCCAGGAGTTTGAGAGCAGCCATGGCCAACATGGGGAAATCCCATCTCTACTAATAATACAAAAAAAAAAAAAAAAAAAAAATTAGCCAGGCATGGTGGCGCGCGCCTGTAATCCCAGCTACTCGGGAGGCTGAGGCAGGATAATCGCTTGAACCCGGGAGGCGGAAGTTGCACTGAGGCGTGATCACACCACTGCACTCCAGCCTGGGTGACAGAGTGAAACTGTGTCTCAAAAGAAAAAAAAGGCCCCACACTGATAATGTCCATCACTGGCTTATATCTTCCCAGGTACAGAATAAAGGCAAGATAAGATAAATCAGTCCTTCACCCTCCCTGAGACAGCTGTTTCCTCTATTCTGATTTTCTTTAAATGTTCACCTTATCTTATGTAAAATGTAGGTTTACTGGGCACTATCTAAAGGCTCACAAGTATATAATCATCACAAGTATGTCTCATTGCCTCCCCCTTTTAAGGAAAATGCATAAATGCTAAATCTCCTGAGAACCTCTTAGGGAAAAAGCAGCCACAAAGGTAGCTGTGACTTGGGTTTTTCCCAGGCATGCTCTCAAGCTGGAATAATAGACCTTGATGACGGAGCCTTCTGCCTCAGTCACTCATTTCGGTTGTCAGTACTAATGAAAGTAAGAATTTTATGTTTTTGTGCTTTACAAATATACTTCTATATAGTAAGAGACTGATAACTCTTTCATTTACCTTTTTAATAATAATTCAAGTGCTCTAATGCCACAAAGCTAACTTTTTGACCTTAAGAGAATACCACAATTTCTTTGGCCTTTGGTTTCCGTGTAAAATCCAGGATTTTAAGTAGGTCATCTCCAAGGCTCTGACTGGTTCTAAGGACTGCAGGAGGGAGGAATAAGACTTCTTCATAGCTTATAAATTGATTGAGACAGTTGCAAAAATACTTGTATTTAGTTCTGTCTGTTGACAAATGCAGAAATCAAAGATGAAGTCTGCAATGATGCGCCTACCAAATCACATATATGTTGTAACATGTAGGCCGATGTATAAGAGACATGTGTGACTCATGGCCAGATTTTAGGTTTACAGTTTAATTCAGGTACATGATTTGTGTCCTTTGAGTTTACATTTGACATAAAATATTTTACTCTTTCTTAGGCCGGGCGCAGTGGCTCACGCCTGTAATCCCAGCACCTTGGGAGGCTGAGGTGGGCAGATCACGAGGTCAGGAGTTCGAGACCAGCCTGGCCAACATAGTGAAACCCCATCTCTACTAAAAATACAAAAATTAGCTGGGAGTGGTGGTGTGCACCTGTAGTCCCACCTACTTGGGAGGCTGAGGCAGGAGAATCGCTTGAATCCAGGAGGCAGAGGTTGTGGTGAGCCAAGATCGTGCCACTGCACTCTAGCCTGGGCAACAAAGCGAGACTCCGTCTCAAAACAAACAAACAAACAAACAAAATATTTTACTCTTTCTTAAGGGAAAAAGTGAACTATCTGGGAACCAGAATGTCCTGAGGTTTTTTGTGAAGCTGCAGGTTCCCTTCTGGCCATCAAGCCTTGTGTTCTCCTCTCCTTACCAACAGTAGTGACTTGCTCTTCACCCTTCAGGGTTGTCAGTTGATAGTTTGAGGTTTATGAATATAAGCATAACAAGCTGAACAAAAAGCAAGAACTGGATTAAGCACAGTAAGTCTAGCACTTGAAGGCAAAATAGCTGCCTTGTTTAGTCTTTCCAATAGAAGTTACAACAGAAGGTTCAGGACTTTTTTGGGTGCCTAAGTCATATAAAAATGGCACAGGTAAGCCAAAGGGATACCGGAATTCTTTCCCTAGCCAGCATGTGTGTCTTGGGGCTCACCCTCTGTCAGTGTCTCCCAAACGAAATTGATATTTCTGCTCCTTCAATCTCCCTTTACAGTGCCAGTTTTCTAAATTTTTTAAAGGGTAAAAATTGAAAACATACAAAATAGAAAAATCCTTATCAAGATATTGAGGACTAAACTCTGATTTTTTTTATCATACCCAAATTTCTATCTAAGGAGTCTGGGGAGTCATGCCCTACAATTCGTATATTCTCATCAGATAGGTTTTATTTAACCCTATTTATTGTGACTACTTTCCAAACTGACTTCGGGATAACATTATGAGACAAGGAAGAAAAACAAAATATTTTAGCCCAAAACATGTTTCTTTGCTGTATCTTGAAATGGCCCTACAAAGCTGTCCTTTGTGGGGGAAAATTTGCATCTGTTTATAGCTAGCTAGATATTTTTCTATCTAGATAACATAGCTAGATATTTTTCTTCCAGGCCCTCCCAATCCTAAAGAGATTAACTAAAAATCTAGCACTTTTTAAAGATCTGAATAGGAGACATTTGTCCTCTATTGTCTCTAAGGGTAGCCATTATAAGACCTCAGAAGAACCTTGGTCTCCACAGTCTTTTGTCTTAACCTGAACATTCCCTTTCTATCCCTCCCAGGTCTTTAGACAAACTCAACCAAATGTCAACCAGGGAAGTGTTTAAATTTACCTATAGGCTGGAAGCCCCCAGCTTTGAGTTGTCCCACCTTTCTCGACCAAACTAATGTATTTCTTAAATGTGTTTGATTGATGTCTCATGCCTCCTTAACATGTATAAAACCAAGCTGTGCCCCAGCCACCTTGGGTATGTTCTCAGGACCTCCTGAGGGCTGTGTCATGGACCATTGTCACTCATATTTGGCTCAAAATAAATCTCTTTAAATATTTTACAGAGTTTGACTCTTTTCATCGATAGAAGGCAGCTAGTGAATCTCTGTATGTTATCTCACCTTTAATCATTATTCCTTAGTTTCCAAAGCTGAAGCAGACCGAAAAATAGCCCGATTTGCTTAGTCGGAAATTAACCTTCGAGACACATGTTTGAAAACCCAGGTCCCTGTTGGGCATTAAATTTAAAAATCTGTTCTACCATGTTATTTCCCTCAACCCTTCCAATAAAGACTTATGTTTTTGATGTCATTGTTGTTTGATATAAATGGTTTCATAATTGCCTTCAAATTTGTCCTAAAATAAAATTCATTCGGCTTATTGAAGCAATGCCACAATGGATTGCAGACTTAAAAGATTTACTTGGGCCTGGGGATTAGCAAAGATTTATCTCAAAGTCCATTTGTACTTTCTCCAGGTGTTCCTGGGGGAGAATGACTTAAAGATAATTTGACTGGATTTTGGTATGCTTTCATTCATTCATTGAACAAAGAGAGATAGGGAATGGAGATCTTAGTTACAATTCCCTTTGAATGCATTTGTTATGTCTTAAGCTTCTTTTGTCAATTCACATATTAATTCTGGCTATAGCTGGCATTCTGTTGTGACTTAGAATTACTGTGTAAGTTCTTTGTCAGTCTGATTTTTGACATTACCAATAGCTACTTTCCATCAACTTAAGATTTTCTTAAAATTTAGGGATCAGATGGGATCTGATAGTTTATCCAGTCATCAGACTCTGAGGAGCATGGTGAGAAACTCAGGTATACGTACAAAAAGTTAAACTGGAATCTTTAACATAGCCTTTCACAGTAAGTGGTTTTCTTTCTGTCATGGAAATTGTTGGAAGATTTTTATGTGTTGTAGCACCAGTGTTTGTGCACACAGAGCTATATATTTCTCCCAGTAGACCCAAATATGTTTATATTATAATAAACAAGGGTATGTTCTAGAGTCGAATGGAAAATCTTACAACTTTTTAAGATGAAAGAGAAAACTTCAAAGATATATCTTCTAGCTTGAAGCAGGCTACTTCACACTGTGCCCCAGGCCCCATAGGAGTAAATTCTATCTCCTTATGCCAGGAGTGATTCTTTTCTGAAAAGTGTGACACACCCTCATCTAATCCAGTCTTGAGGGAGAGCTGCTATAAACCCTTCCAGAAAGAATCTTTGCATAAAGCCTTCAATAACAGGTGATCACCATGCTCCCTTTGAGATTCAGATGCAGTGCTTAATGACCTGTAATTTTTTAGCTACATTGATTTAAAATAATTAGGGCTTCCATCTTATAAATGAAGAAATTGAATCTATCACATTAAAAAAATTACATCTGATCACACCACAAGGAAGTGGTTAAACCAATCTACAAACCAAAGTCTACATGGCTTGCATTGCTATTCTTTCATTACACCTTACCCTCCAACCTGCATGGTCCTGGCTTTCTCTGTACAGCGAAAAGCAAGGCTATCTGGTGAGGCCGGAAGGTGGATTTGCATGTGAAAAGGAGAATGTAGCAGTAAAGTGAGATTCAGAGAAAAGAAAAAGTTGAACTCGCTGTTGTCCTGTGTGTCTGTCTTTAAAAACCAGTAAGAGTAGAAAAATACAGAGCTGCCTCCAAGTCTGCTGCTCTGCAAAATTGCAGGCTGCTTGCAGGGCAAGACCCAAATTGACTGACATGCCAGTGTGACTGGTCCTCCCTACCGTGGCCAGCACAAGACTTTGCATCAAAGAGGTTTAAATAAATGCTGACTTAAAGGAAAATCTGTTTCATGCAGTGCAACAAACAGAAAGCAAACTATTTTCACATGAAACAATCTCCTTTTAAAAATCCCTTCTGAATTTAATAGACTAATTGAGTTAATTATTTAACTCAGATAAAACAATGAATTAGTCAGAAATCAATGGAGATTTTTAAGGAGGTGTTAGAAATAAGGGGAAATGTCCAATTTTGAAGTCCAAGTCACAGGATATAGATTATGCTGCCATATTATCTGGGGTCAGTTACTTACGAAAGCATAGAAGAAATATTTTATCCCCACTGGTACTTTGAAATGTGAACCATTCAGTTTTAATGTCAGCCAGTGACCTTCATTTCTCCCGTGGTGAACCTGTGGGCTTCAGATGTGAGCAGCTGCGTCAGCAGAGCTTCCTAGAGATGTCACAGGTGCTTGTGCATGAAATTCTTATGCCTTACCTTTTCATTTAACTGTCACCGCAGGTGCGCAGCAACCCCCGCTGGGAAGAGCAGGGCAATATTGCAAATCCTGGACCAATTTTGTATCCGTTAGGGTCAACCTTGCGTGTTGTAACTGTCTGGATCTTAAGCACTTCATTTTCTGTTGGTGGGTGTTTTTTGTTTGTTTGTTTGTTTGTTTTTGTTTTGAGACAGAGTTTGGAATTTCGCTCTTGTCACCCAGGCTGGGGTGCAATGGCTCAATCTTGGCTCACTGCAACTTCCGCCTCCTGGGTTCAAGCGATTCTCCTGCCTCAGCCTCCTGAGTAGCTGGGATTAAAGGCATATGCCACCATGCCCACTAAGTTTATATTTTTAGTAGAGACGGGGTTTCGCCATGTTGGCCAGTCTTGTCTCGAACTCCTGACCTCAGGTGATCCACCGGCCTCAGCCTCCCAAATTGCTGGGATTACAGGTGTGAGCCACCATGCCTGGCCTGTTGGTGGATATTAAGAAAGATGGAGCGGCCGGGTGAGGTGGCTCATGCCTGTAATCCCAGCACTTTGGGAGGCCGAAGCAGGTGGATCACGAGGTCAGGAGTTCAAGACCAGCCTGACAAACATGGCAAACCCCCGTCTCTACTAAAAATACAAAAATTAGCCAGGCATGGTGGTGTGCACCTGTAATCCCAGCTACTCAGGAGGCTGAGTTAGGAGAATCACTTGAACCTGGGAGGTGGAGGTTGCAGTGAGCCGAGATTGTGCCACTGCCAGCCTGGATGACAGAGCGAGACTCCGTCTCAAAAAAAAAAAAAAAAAAGGTGCTACATTCCTGAAGCATCTAAGAGACCCTTGCTAGAACTTTGTTAACAGTTAAGCTTTGTGTTTAAGGTCCATTTTCATCTGAAAGAAATACCCACAGTGTTTAAATAACTTTTTTTTTTAAAGAAAACTATTGCATTACTTGTGCATTTATTTCTAATGGCAATTTTATCCTTATAATTAGCAATTTGCTATAAACTAGGTGAGGGGAAGAAGTTACTTTTCATTGCAAATAATGTTTGTGCCAGTTCATATCTTCAGATAGAAATTTTAAACTGCTGGGACACTTTTTAGTGATTAGCACTAATATGATCTACCTTGCCCTCTATAAACATCCTTTATGTAGCTCTATTTTCTCATGACATTTAGAATTAAGTATTTGCAAAGTTGTCCTTTGTAGCTTTCAAAGCCTGTAGAGCTATTTGTGACAAAATAAGCAATAGTTTCAGACACCCGGAGTGCAAATTCATTTATCGCAGCAAGGGCCGTGGTGTGTTCATTCTGTTCCTTGTGAATTTGACACATTCTGCATCACAGGAAACATGACCTCATGTGCTGTATCTTCTGTGCACCGGAAGTGGAATTTCAAGAGTTTCTAGATCTCGATGTGGATTTTCACAACACTGAGAGGCACTGGGCTACACAGATATACCAGCATTCTATTATATCAGTATCACAGGCAACGCAGTCTCATGCAGGCATTTGAGATCTTTAATACCTCTTCTACCATCAAAGATAAGGTAAAAGGAGATTAGTCTGTTCATTCAACAGATATTTACTGAGTTCATCCGTGGCTCAAGAAACTATTCCAGGTGCTTCAAGCTGAGATAAAACCTTGCGTTTCTGATCAAGCCTGATGCATTTCTGTCGATGGCAGGGAAAGCCGTCGACGGGGACACTCTCTAGCAGGTGAAGGTGTGACGGAACCGGGCTAGTTCAAGCAAGGCAGAAGGTGTGAACACCTCTTGTTCATTTTCACTGTATCGTGGTAGAACAGGGACCCAAACTTTATTTCTTTAGGCTAAGTTTTCCCCAAGATTCTTTTATAATACTTGGCCAAGACAGAACTTTGAAGAAATACATAGAATCATTTGCTATGTGTTTGAGCAGAGCATGCACCAGTTTTCCCACTCCCTTTTCTTTTACACCCAACCGGCTAGATACGTACATTACCTGCCTAACCCCAAGCCATCCCACGTAGCTTCCGTTTCTGCTGAAGTACCTCCTCCTTGCATATTACCCTGGAAATGACCAGACCGTGACCACAAAGTCAAACTTGAACACCTGTTGCTATCATTGCAGGTCTCCACATTAGATTCCTTCTCTGAGCCGGAACAAAAGTGACTTTGTGGTGTTCCAGACTGCACAGGACTGTTTTCTTGTGCGCTCAGTCCAGACACATGTGTACGTCAGGATAATGTGACATCAGTATATATTCCACAAGGCTGGAGAAGGTCCAACTATTGCTAACAAGTTGTTCTTACCATTTGTTAGATATTTTGCATGTATGTTTATCTTAACATTTTGAATGTTATTTATACCCATTTTACAGTGCCACAGCCACTGGGGTTCAGGAGAGGTAGCATAGGTAATAGTGATTAGGGTTACACACAAATATAACACATATTCCTGCATTGGTGTCTATATTCATTAGTGAAAATTCTGTGACAAAGTGAATTCTCCTTCCCTTTGTTCCTAAACTGCAATTGGAAAAGCAAGCTGTCTACCATGTAGGTGAGGAGTTGGTATTGCTGTTCTTAAATCCACAGACTGACTTTCATTTCTTGTTCTAACAAAGCAAGACAGATTGACTTTCTGTCCCCAGCAAGCTGCAGTCCTACATCATTGCAGCACTGACCCTTTTGCTAATAGTAACTAATCGTCACTCCACATCACCTTCCCAGTTTGCTTAAAACCCATCTCTTTCAAATGGCCTCGTCTGGTGAAGGCTCTTCTGATTTGCATTATTCTTATAAATATGGAAGTATACATAGACCATTAATCCAAGAGTTATTTATAGACATGTGTGACTATGTAGGTGATCTTAAATCATCCCCTGAATTCTTAAATTCTTATCGCGTGATTTATCCCCAACAGCTAAAGAAGTTTCTGCTTCTGCCTTCCCTTTCATTTTCATTCTTTACTCACTGCTAAGATTTGGATGTCTTTTGCGTTTGTCTCCAGCCGTCTTTCCAATTCCCAAGATACACATGAAGCACAGTGGTTCAGAGCCCTGCCTTTGAAGCCAGACTGTGTGTACAGAACCTGGCTCTGCCATCTTTTGCCTCTGTCCTTCTAGATAATAAGAGCATCTTCTTGTTCTTGCAGTTATTGTAAGGATGAAGTGAGTCCATGCAGTAAGCACTTGGAACCATGTTTTTTTTCCAGTGTGGTGGCACCAAAGCGGGGAGCCAAGTTAGCACAGCCCTCCCTTTCCATTTCAGCTTCAAATGGCAACATCCAAGTTACAGATTCTGAAGCCCTGGAGTTTAGGATCATATACCCCAATCCCCCAGGGAGCACATTCTACTTTGCAGAAGGTCTGTAGGTGTGCAGGTTGTAACACAGAAAGCAGATGACTCCAGGATGGAGGTCATAAGAACAGCTTTCCCTCCTGAACCCACCACCGATTTCATTGTCTGACTGGGGGCAGATCAATCACTGTGACTTTAATTTCCTAAATTTGGTTAATTCCTGAGGTGGTGGTAGGATCAAATAAGTTAATTTCTGTGAACACACTTTGAAAATTTTAGATCTGTACACAAATCTAAATCACTTATGATTATTAATAATCCTGTTCTCGGGAAATATATGTCATAAATAGTTATTTTTAGAAACGAGGCATTTATTCATTTGGGAGTATCTAACCCTGAGTATCACCTCAGAGGAAATATTTTGAGTTAGGAGGGACCATGTTGCTACAAGCAAATATATTTTAATATTAATGGGAGGAATAGTGTGGACACGTAATTGTATAAGAAGTAGTTTTGGAAGAAATTGGGCATTGGTGACAGAAAAGTATTTGGGAAAGATAAGACTTCTCTAAAAGGATTGCTTTGGAAATGTTAGTAGAGTTTAACCTCTTATATGTGGCTGCTGCAGAGGCTGTGGCAGGAGACTGTTATGGGCGGACTTCTCCAGAGGCAGAAATTGAGGCAGAAGTTGGTGTGAGTTTATCTTATCCGTCGGAACCGAGGCCTGCAAAGGGAAAACCGCTAGATCCCCAGCTCGCTCAGCCTCTCGGTGCGGCTGCCAGGGACAGGTGCCGATGCTGACAGCAGAGGCCATCCCTGGCCACACGCCTCACATCTGAGCAGCAAATACTTATTTGAAACGGGATCTGGGTGGTACTTCTCTCTGTATCTTCTACAGCCCTTGGGCAACAGGCAGGAGAATAACCAGTGAATCCTGCGAAAAGTTGTTTAGGACAGTATTAGAAGAGAAAGTGTACAGTGTGTATTTTTTGGACAAGAAATAACAAAAATAACAATATTTAACTTATTCCAGTGACTGCTGTAATGCAAAGGGAACTGATACCACTTAGTGGAATAATACATGTTTTGAAAGCAAAAAACAGTCAGATTCAACTATGTTAACTATATTATAAACTAACCACTCTCACATTCTTTTCTTTTTTCTCTCTCATTTTTTTTTTTTTGAGATGGAGTTTCACTCTTGTTGCCCAGTTCAGAGGTCAATGGCATGATCTCAGCTCACTGCAACCTCCACCTCCTGGGTGCAAGCAATTCTTCTGCCTCAGCCTCCCAAGTAGCTGGGATTACAGATACCCACCACCACGCCCAGCTAATTTTTTGTATTTTTAGTAGAGATGGGGTTTTGCCATGTTGGCCAGGCTGGTCTGAAACTCCTGACCTCAGGTGATCCACCTGTCTTGGCCTCCCAAATTGCTGAGATTACAGGTGTGAGCCACTGCACCTGGCCCACTCTCACATTCTTACATAAAATTCAGGTATCATATTACAATGAAAACAACTGCAAAGAAAAAACAGAGTTTTAATTATTATTATTATTTTTTACAAATACCATAATATTGATTTGATGTAGAAATTACTTTAAATTTCTCTCATTATATCTGATATAAATGATTCCCTTAAAAATAGCAACAACATAAAACATTCAAATAGTCAAAATGTATCTTAAAGAAAAGTTAGGGAATAAACTTCAAAATTTAGTTTCCTACTGAATCTTCATATGGTTTCCCAGGCATAAGAAGAGAGGAACAATTTAGCGTGTCTTTTAAGAAATACAATTATTGCGCTAAAAATTTAACCACAGTACAAATAAACAACGTCACTGATAAATTACCCAAGTATTATAATAAGTTTTTAAAATAAATGCAAGCGTCTTTATCTCTTTGTGCATTTTAACCATATAGAGACATGACATCCAATATTAGCATCCTAAGCTTAATGCAATTCAGTAAGCTTCTGGGATGTGGAATTGCATTTTGTTGTCAACTAGACTTTCTTAACTTGAATCTGTTTTTATGCCCCTTTTTAAAGGGTATTACATTTATTTAATGATTATTTCTAAGATTAATCTGAAATGATTTCTGTGATTAGCACTCATTGACTAGGTTTTAAAGTACTCCTCTACAAGAGAGATGGTTAAATTGATCCGCGTAGTTAATGAAAGCCTTGACCTGCACGGGAGGACTTCAGGAGACTCCTCAGGACCTGCCCCCTGAGCGCAAGCCCTCTGCTTTCTTTGCTGGTGGTCTGGAGTGGTGTCTAGCGATACTGTCAGAAACATGGCATGGTGGAACAGAAAGCAAACAAAATCAAGAGAAGACATGGGCTGGGCGCGGTGACTCACGCCTGTAATCCCAGCATTTTGGGAGGCCGAGGCGGGTGGATCACAAGGTCAGGAGATTGAGACCATCTTGGCCAACATGGTGAAACCTCGTCTCTACTAAAAATACAGAAATTAGCTGAGCGTGGTGGCGCACACTTGTAATCCCAGCTACTAGGGAGGCTGAGGCAGGAGGATCGCTTGAACGCAGGAGGTGGAGGTTGCAGTTAGCCAACATTGTGCCACTGCACTTCAGCCTGATGACAGAGTGAGACTCTGGCTCAAAAAAACAAACAAACAAACAAACAAAAAAAAAACAACAAGAACAACAAAAAAATAAAAACAGACATGGATTTGCATCTGCAGTTGATTGCTTGCCATATAAACTTGAACTAGTCATTTACCCTTACCCTCAGCTACCTCTCTGTCATATGATGTTGATGGTACCTACTTAAAAGGAGTATCAAGGTTGTGGTGATAGTTCAGAAACAACATTCACGTGACAGTGCTTAGGAAACTGTCAAATGTCATTCAGATGTTATTATCAATGAACAGTTTCCCCTGGAATTGCTGCTCCCTCTCAGATCCTCTCCTACTGCAAGACTTTACACGTATGACAGTAAGGAAGGTGCCATCTCACTCCATTCTGTATTGGGCAGCTGGCTGCAGACTTGAGTGATGATGGCTGGTCTTCCAGCGGGTGTCTGAAGACTCGGAGGTTCCCATGACCACAGAGTCCAGTACACCTGCACACGTGTACAGGATGCACAAAGAAAATGACCAGGAATGCCGGTGACAACACTAAGTTGAAATTTTCCAAGAAAGTGGCCTTTCAAATCACTAATAGCTACAGTAATTATATTATATATAACTCTATTACAGAATTTATATAGAACAGTATCCTAGGAAAATGCTAAAATGCACGAAATAGGATGACTCCATCACACACATTGGTTTTTACATAGGTGTCACTGTTCAACTCTAATCTGGTTTTCTGGAATTATATATATAATTGCATATATATGTATATGTTTTTGCAACTCCTAGTCCATATGGAGAGAGATTTTAATTCAGGAAATTAAAGAATAAATTTCAGAACATTTATTGTTGTATCCCTTACTAAATTATAGATGGATGGAACTATCCTTTTATCTTGAAAATTTGGCTTAATTGAGAGAGTTTATTTTTCCATAAATACAGTGGAATGCTTTCCTGAGAGAGCACTGTACTCTCTCACTTGCTTCTTGTCCATTTGTGCTATTTTATGCCATACTGATTTTGCACTGAGACTGGCAGAAGGCACAGACTTTTCTCTCCTCCCCCAGTTTCTCACCATATCTGATTTTCTTGTTTTCCAGTCTTCATTTCCATTTGTTTCTGAGCATAGATTGATTTGCCCTTGAATGGCTCAGTGGTGCTCAAGGACACCCGCTGAGTTAGCCTTTGGTGAACATTTTCCATGGAACAGGCTGGAATCAAGAGCACAGGCCCTGGAGAAAGAATGTTGTGTTCAAAACCCAGTTCTACCTCTAGTTGTCTTGTTTCCTGGGCAAGTTCCCCAGTCTCTCAACTTCTTCAAAAGGTTGTGAAAATTACAAGAGATAAAACTTGAACAGTGCTGATCACATATGGACAGTAAATATTAGCCAAGATTTTGGCCCTGACTTGCTAACTGAAAGGGGGATATTGTAGGTAAGTCTTTACTTGAACCAACAGGTCTTGACTTATCTGTACTTTGTTCTCCAAACTTACCACAGCCATGGTTCTATGAAGCATAATGAAAGAGTATATAATCTTTACTGTGACTGGCACGCATGCTTTCACATCCCAGATATCATCTGTCCAAGGAAATTTTATTTATTTATTTTTATTTTTTGAGATAGAGTTTAGCTCTTTTTGCCCAGGCTGGAGTGCAATGGTGTGATCTTGGCTCACTGCAACCTCCACCTCTCCAGTTCAAGCGATTCTCCTGCCTCAGCCTCCCAAGTAGCTGGGATTACAGGCATTCGCCACCATGCCTGGCTAATTTTGTATTTTTAGTAGAGACAGGGTTTCACCATATTCATCAGGCTGGTCTCAAACTCCTGACCTCAGGTGATCCGCCCACCTCGGTCTCCCAAAGTGCAGGGATCACAGGCGTGAGCCACTGTGCCCGGCCTCCAAGGAAATTTTAATACAAACCCTTCTTTGGCGAGTTGAATTGAAATTTTTTTTCCTATGAAAACAATAATGTTTTTAAGGCCAATTATGTAATTTTTATGAATATAATTATGATAATGTAAAATTTAGTAAATATTCTCTGTAACTCTGTTTTCTTTTTTGATAATATGACATGAGGCAAGAATCTAGATATAATAATACCCTTAAATAGCTGTAAGTTAGTGGCTTTCATCCGGGGTAGTTTTTTCCCAATGGGGACCTTTGGCAATGTCTGGAGACATTTTATTTGTCACCAATGAAGGGTGGTGCTCCTGGCATCCGGTGTGTTGATGCCAGGGCTGCTGTTGAGCATCTTACAAAGCACGAGTCAGCCCCACAGCAAAGGGTTATCTTGCCCAACTTTCAATGATGCTGAGGTCAGGAAAGCCTGCTCTAGGTGGAAGAAGAGGTGGGGCTGACCCAGGAATGATTTTGTGAGACAGGACGATGACTTCCTCCGAGACTGCTTAAACCATGTACATTCCAAACTCTCCTGTTCCTCTCCATTGTTTCATGGTCTGAAGAGAAATACATTTAGTTCCAAATTTAAGATTGTGCATGTGAACTCCTGGCCTTTCACATTGAGCCATGGGGCTGGCTCTTTTCCATTGGATTTTGATAAAGGAAGGAAGAAAAACTGGCTGAGCCAATACTGGAAAACATGCTTCATGGTAAACAGGCAGTGATTAGGAGGCCTGCACTGTGAAGGAGAGGCTGAGTCTGGTTGTACAGAGATAAAGCAATTCTGAAAGTCATTTTCCAGAACCAACAAACTGTAATTTAGTTCTGTATTTTAAATAAATTCCAAAAACCTCGATCAGGTTTAATAGGTGTCACCCTTTGACTGTATAATGTTAGCTGGTTTTTCTTGCCTTACAGTGGAAATGAATACTTAATTTCAGGAAGAATGGAAACAAGTTTGCAGTTCCTTAATAAAACAATTACAAGAGTCATCTAATTTTATTCTGAAAAATCCTCCATTATGTGTCAATATGATTTCAGAAATATTGCAGAATTTTTAATGCTATTTGGTAATTTTAAGTTGAGAGAATTATTCCCACAGAAAGCAAGGCGAATGGAGTGGAAAAAAGGTCAGGCCAAAGAGAACCTTACTAAAAGCATCTGGCTGTACTTCGAATTCTGTCTCACTGTGGCGGCATCAGTGATGTGGCATACAGAGCTTCTGTGGTATTAGAACATTCTTGGCTAAACCTCAGTCTTGCCAGGATTATAATGAGTTTCCAGTCTTTAGTGGAACTGATGAAGAAGATACTGCTCAGCGCTGCAGCACATTCACAGAAGCCATATGCCTCTAAGTGCTTCGCTTCGATGTATTATAGAAGCTACGTTTCAGCTACACGGCTGAGATTCCTATCAACCAAGTCGCATCTGCTGGAAGCCTTACCCAACTGTGAAAAATCTCTTCCTGCCCAAACTTAGTGCGTGCTAACTGTGTTTACATGCAGGGCCTCCTTAAATGCTCAGAATAACATTGGGAGGTAGATACTATTAGTGTCCCAGTCCTCACGTAAGTCACCAAGACTTATGTGGGAAGAGGCTTGGAATGTAATTCAATGTCACATAGTCAATAAGTTACAGTAGGGTCTCAAGCCCAGGTTTTGTACTAAAGTGTGTATTCCTAGGTGCGCCCCATTCTGCCTCAGTACCACTGATTATAAGTAGGAAAGGGCTTATTCATGGATCTGAAATTCAGGGTGCGTCGTGCTAGCTCACACCTGTCTTGTAACTCTGATGCCCAGTCTTCCTGCTGATGTGTTCGGAATGTACATGTGTGTGTAGAATGCTGTAGTGATGAGACCCTGTCACACATGCTGCCCTCTGACTTGTGTGTGTCACTTGTTTCTACCTATCCTATCTGGGCACCTCTTTGCAGCAGTACCTGCAGGGCTGGCATCCGGCAGGTGTTCAGGGACGTGGTTGTGCTGCTAGCTGTTGGGCCATTTGCTGGCTAGCTGCTCCCCTGACACTGAGTGTGATTTCCCGGTAAACCTGGCTGTTTGTATTTATCCTTCTGTGAATTACTTCTTTTGACCTGCCATCCCCCCACCCTAAATTTCCTATTGGATATTTGTCTTAAAAAATAAATAAATAAATTTGGGCCAGGCACAGTGGCTCACGCCTGTAATCCCAACATTTTGGGAGGCCGAGGCAGGTGGATCACCCAGGTCAGGAGTTCAAAATCAGCCTGGCCATCATGGTGAAACCCCGTCTTTATTAAAATTAAAAAATTAGCTGGGCATGGTGGCACACACCTGTGGTCCTAGCTACTTGGCAGGCCGAGGCAGGAAAATCACTTGAACCCGGGAGGTGGAGGTTGCAGTGAGCTGAGATCACACCACTGCACTCCAGCGTGGGCAACAGAGCAAGACTCCATCTAAATAAATAAATAAATAAATTCAGGAGATTTCTTCAGATGTCAGGAATGCTAGCACTTTTCCATATGTTTACTCTGTTTAGAGTGTCTTTCCATATCAATTATTACATTTGTGTGTAGTCAATGATCAGTGGATTTTGGTTTCTCTGCTCACGTGGGCATGTCTTGGCCCCTCTTGGGCTATTAACTTGATTGACTCACGTCGTCATCCTACTTTTACCCTTTCATTGTTTTATACATGTGATTCTTTGATCCTCCTGATTACCTCAATTGAGGAATGCTAAAAAGATCCAACTTTTATTATTATTTATTATGTTGATTATTCTAATACCATTTAGCAAATCATCTAATACCTCACTAATTGGAAAGGTTTTATAAGCTGAGATCACACATAAATATCTGTCTCTCTTGGGTTCTCCCCTCCAGGCTTTTACTTCTGTTCCATTGCTCATTCTGTGCCAGGCACATAGTTTTACTACTGTAATTTTATTTATGTTATGTATGTATTTATTTTTTGAGATGGAGTCTCACTGTCACCCAGTCTTGAGTATAATGATGCAATCTCAGCTCACTGCAGCCTCTGCCTCCTGGGTGCAGGTGATCCTCCTGCCTCAGCCTCCCAACTGGCTGAAACCACAGATGTGCGCCACCATCCCCAGCTAATTTTTTGTATTTTTGGTAGAGATGGGGTTTTGCCATGTTGGCCAGGCTGGTCTCGAACTCCTGAGCTCAAATGATCTGCCCACCTTGGCTTCCCAAAGTGCTGGGATTACAGGCATGAGCCACGGCGCCTGGCCGACTATTGTAATTTTAAATAAAGTTTGAAATATGTTTGATAAAGCCTCTCTTCACTGACCATCTTTTTCACAACATTTTTTGGCTACTCTGTGATCATTCATCTTTCATGACAAATTAAGTTAATTTTGTCATGTTCTGAAAAGGACAAGCAGAACAGAGGGTGGCACCCTCAATGCCCCAGCTCCTTTCCGAGGGTTCAGGTAGGCATTGCCTTTCTGAGATTAAATTGAACGCCATTTTCAATATGGCATCAATTTTAACTTAGCACAATCAAATTTTCAACATTCTTGTCAACTGAAGGATATTGTTTTAATGTTTTTTAAAAATCCTGGGATTATGGGCTTGTGTTTGTGTTTGGAAGCCATTGGAGAGGTGCCAACATTTACATTTCCTTCTTCCTTTCTTTTTTTTTTTTTTAAGATGGAGTCTTGCTCTGTTGCCCAGGCTGGCAGTGGCTCGATCTTGGCTCACTGTAATCTCCGCCTTCTGGGTTCAAGCAATTCTCCTGCCTCAGCCTCCCGAGCAGCTGGGATTACAGGGGCCCGTCACCATGCCTAGCTAAGGTAACTTTTTGTATTTTTAGTAGAGGCGGGGTTTTACCACATTGGCCAGGCTGGTCTCCAACTCCTGACCTCAAATGATCTGCCCGCCTCGGCCTCCCGAAGTGCTGGGATAACAGGCGTGAGCCACTGTGCCCAGCCTAACATTTATATTTCTCCTTCCAGATAGGAACACAACCAAACTAAACCAGAGAGGAGTGGAGTGATCTTTCTTTTTAAGGTTTTGAGCTTGTCTATTCCACATTACAAGCTTGCTGCTCAGATCTGACCTTGATTTTCCTCCAAACCAGTGACAGTGTCTGTACTTTGGGACACCCTCCTGGGCAACCTGCTGGAGACTCTTCTTTCAAAGACTAATTTCCTGAATCTCTGGCTAAAGAGAGAAGAAGGTTAATAGTTCAGGGAGCTTGTTTACAGGCCATTAGAAACAATTAGCACATTGCTGAGATTAAAAGCACTTCTCCAGAATGTTGGATGGCCTAGAAAGGAAACAGGACTTTTAGAAACATCTATTTTTAGCATCTAATTAAGGCAGACTTGGAGTTCCCCAGCCTGTCTTGCCATACTGTTTCGTATTTTAATTATCAAGAAATCTTAAATTTCCTTCAAGCTAAATTCTGCCTACAGCAACTTAAAGTAATAGTAACGTAAAAACCCTACTCATGAATTCTTATGAACAAATATTGAAATTGCCCCAAAACTTTTTTTAGACTGATTACTTAACACCCGTACCTTTCCTCTTTGACATGTAAAAAAAAATTATAATTTATTGATGATTTTCTTTCTTTCTAAAAAGACACGTTTTGCTCTAGGGACATGGCTCAATGCCCCTGGAATAGGGCAGCCATTCCGATTCTTGTTTCAGTGTCTTCACTCTGCTGCCCTTCCTTCTCCTGAAACTCCCTCTTCTAGCCCTTCGCCTGAGGCTTTTACAACTCTCGAAGACGCAGTACAATTTTCACGTGTTCTGTGATGCCTTCTGAACCTTCTTTTATATTGAAACCCCATTGCATTTTGTGTAAATATTTAAATGTTTCCCTCATACCTGATAAACCAGTCTGTAGGTCCCATTCATCTTTCACAGTCCCTACAACGCCATACCCTTAGCAAGTTCACAGGCCAGGAAGAATTTGCTAAATTGAATTTTATCAGTGTCCCCTACTGTATTTTGGTTTTGTAACCATTTGTTTTCTTTCTCTTTGCTATTGCAAAGAGAGAACCACTTTTTTTGAGACTGAGTCTCACTCTGCCGCCCAGGCTGGAGTGCAGTGGCGCAATCTCGGCTTCACTTAAACATCTGCCTCCCAGGTTCAAGTGAGTCTCCTGCCTCAGCCTCCCAAGTAGCTGGGATACAGGTGCTTACCACCACGCCTGGCTAATTTTTGTATTTTTTGTAGAGACAGGATTTCGTCTTATTGGCCAGGCTGGTCTTGAACTCCTGACCTCAGGAGATCTGCCCACCTCGGCCTCCCAAAGTGCTGGGATTACAGGCATAAGCCACCACACCCGGCCAAAGATAGAACCAATTTAACATATGGTTGGGTCCATTCATGTTTTCTGTGTTGTCTGCTGCCATTTCACGGGGATGTCCATCAGTCACCATTCCACTAATATTTTGTAAAAGCAAAAGATAGTTGCACTTCTTAAAACCTTAATCAGAGCCTGCCACTGTTGGCTTCTTCTTACTTCACACTGCATTCCAGACACTGGTCTTTCTCCAGTTCATTGAGCAAAACAGCACAGGACCTTGGCACATGCTGTTTTAGTTACCTGTAACTGTTTCCCAATCTCCCACCTTCCTTTTACTTTGCCCCATGAGGAGATGCTTTGCAAAGAGTTTAGCTGTTAGGGATAGCTGGTACCAATATCTGTAAGCCACTGACCACCAGTTAAATTGAGCTGACCTGGACAGCCAGGGGCATGCCCGCTGTTCTCCCCAGTGCCGTGTGCTGCCCTCCAAAAGCTGTGGAATCAGGAGGACAGAGGCAGCAGGCTGTCTTGTGGTATCAGCAGTAGGTTACCATGCAGAGGAGGTGGTTAGTCATCCCTGGAAGAGGAATCCCATGTGCTGAATCACAGAGAGTGCTCTGTCTTGGCCCATATGGGGTAGGAAGTAAGCTGTAGTTATATCTCAGGGAAGTAAAAGTAGACAAAGAATTTGGGGGATCCACTTGCAGAGGGCCTCCTGTGTCCTTCAAGGAGTTATAACTCTATCACTTAGTCATCAGGGAGTCATTGGAGTGTTTGTTTGTTTGTTTGTTTTTAAGACAGAGTCTTGCTCTGTTGCCCAGGCTGGAGTGCAGTGGCGCAAACTCGGCTCACCGCAACCTCCACCTCCTGGGTTCAAGGGATTCTCCTGCCACAGCCTCCCGAGTAGCTGGGACTACAGGCGCCTGCCACAATGCCCGGCTAATTTTTGTGTTTTTAGTAGAGATGGGGTTTCACCATGTTGGCCAGGCTGGTCTCGAACTCTGACCTCAGGTGATCCACCCGCCTCGGCCTCCCAAAGTGCTGGGATTACTGGCGTGAGCCACCACTCCCAGCCTGGAGTTTTTAAGTCAGGAGAACAGAGTGACCAGTTTATGCTTTAGGAAGATACTTCTGGTGGCTCTGGGCAGGGAACAGGACTTCATAGCGTTGTGTGGATCATGTCCTGCATGGAACTACCCCGCTGAAGTCCACCCCAGGCTCTGTTCATCCAGCAGCCTGGAGCCCACGTGTTGATCAGGCTTCCCTGCAGCCCTGCAGTCCACTTCTCACTGGTCCACTTCCCTCCAGCCTCTCTGCCTCCCCGTAGAAATCAGAGAGCTCTGCTTTTGTGGAAATTCTGGGGCAAGTTCCCAAAAAGCTTCCTGCGACTTTTTATACTACATGAGAACATGTACGGATAATGGCAGGCCCATTTGGTAAATGCACACTGACTGCCAGAAGGATCTGTGTTGAAATGCCAGCTTCTTGAAAGCCTTACTCAGATGTGCCCTTACTGACACGGCTCTGTGTCTGGGTCCCCTCTTGCCCTCCAAACACATGGGCCTTATTCCCATTCCTAAGCAAGTTCCAAATCTTTCTGTATCTCAAGGCCTTCGCATGTCTCATGGCCAGAGAAATTGTCTGCATTTTTTCATGCAGCTGACTCCTGTCCAGGTCTCAGGTCTCTGTTTATCTGATTTTCCACAGAGAACAGTTCCTTGTCCTGATTCTTGCAGCCTGTGACAACTCTCACCTCCTTCTTTACTCTTCTTTCATGTGTCATAATGCAATGTGCTAGTCTACCTTTATTTAGGAGACTGTAGGATGAAAGTTTGTTGCCTGCCTCAGTAGACTTGAACTATGTTCACTGTATTCACATCTGTATCCCCAGCACTTAACAAAAGTGAGTGGCAGGAAGCAGGTAGGTATTCAGTAACTATCTGCTGAATAAATGAGCAAATGAGTCCAGCAGGAAGACCTAAAATAGTTGGTGAGGGCTGTTATAGAAATTGCATCTCAACCGGGCGCGGTGGCTCATGCCTGTAATCCCAGCACTTTGGGAGGCTGAGGTGGGAGGATCACCTGAGGTCAGGAGTTCAAGACCAGCCTGGCCAACATGGTGAAATCCCCTCTCTACTAAAAAATACAGAAATTAGTCAGGCATGATGGCACGTGCCTGTAATCCCAGCTACTTGGGAGGCTGAGGCAGGAGAAGCGCTTGAACCTGGGAGGTGGAGGTTGCAGTGAGCCAAGATCACACCATTGCACTCCAGCCTGGGCAACAGAGCAAGACTCTGTCTCAAAAAAAAGAAGAAGAAGAAGAAAAGAAAGAAATTGCATCTCAAGATACATAATAAGAAAATGCAAAATAGATATTCTCAGCCTGAAATATGCTTTCAGAGGATGGCATAACAGAAGGTGCCTCTGGTTTGGTTTCAAACTCTAATCCATAAAAAAGGTGTACAAGGTACATATTAGGTAATGTCAAGTATGTGAGAGTAAGTCAAATATTTGTTAAAGTATATTTTAAATCTATGAAGGCAGCTCATTTAAAAAATAATTCTACATTAAATCATCTTTTGATGTGAAAAATACCGTTTTAAAACAACAATTATGCTACAACTCTGTTTCACTGAAAGGAACTTTCTTTCTTGCGAATCAACTACAGAGCTCTGTTTAACACATGAATACAAGATGTAGTTCCATGACAGGTATCACTGTGGGACTCGGGCCAGGCAGGTGTGAAGGAGGGAGGTGAGTGGTCTGGGGAAGCCGCTGCCTCCTGTAGTCACAGGCAGATACATGAAAGTAGGAACAATTGCTGTAAAAGATGACAGAACACAGCCTCATTGTGAACCATTTGGAATCAATAAAGTCTGCAGATCAAGTCAGAAGAATGACCATTTTTAAGAAAAGGCTTCAAGTATATTTCAAATCTGATTCATGAATCAGAACAGGCCCCCAAATTAAACACCACAGTTTTGAACTTCTGCTACTTTTTTCTTTTTTTCTATTAAGTGAATAAAAGTTCACTTTTCCCTCCTTTAAGCCAATAAAAGAGATAATTATTCTAAATTGTTCTGAATCTTTCTACATCTTTTTATCTATGGCTGTAAAAATATCTATAAAGGTATGTACATGCATATATATATAGCTTATATATTTTACATATAACACGTATAAACATTTATACATACATCTACACATAAACAGATGTATAAGCACTTGCAGACATCAACATATGTACTCAAATTTATACATATGTATGCCTGTCTATAAATATAAGTGCATAGATACATAGAATATTACTCTTAGAAAAATGAGATCTACAGAAGTGTTCAGCAATTTGGGTATTTCCCCATCTTTTGCAACGCGCTTTTTACATTTAATAAAACATCATGGACAGCCTTTTAACCAAGGACCCCTATGGACATACTTGATTTATCACAACGGCTGCAGAGTATACATTCCATTGTACTGTAATTTATTTAGCTTTGCTCTATTAGTAGACATTGAGATCGCTTACTTTTTTTCCTTCTCCAAATGTTGGGATTAACAGCAGTGTACATGTATCTTTACAGCCTTGCCAGTATTTCTAAAGAACAGATTTCCAGGAGTAGATTTTCCAAGCCATAAAAATAACTGAATTCTAAGATCACTCTGAACAGACTAGTATGTTTTTTGGTGGATCTCAGAAGGAAAGGAAGGCATTCACTGTGAGGACACCCCTTCAGCAGATTCAGAATAAGTCATTTTCTGAATGTTTTATCAGTGTCACCATCAATACTCTGAAATGCATGCATTTGAGGATTCTATGGATTCAAGACAGGGTTAGCGCTGTCTCTTTTGTATTGAGAGAGAGAGAGAGAGAGAGAGAGAGAGAGAGAGAGTGTGTGTGTGTGTGTGTGTGTGTGTGTGATGTGCATGCAATTTGGTAAAGAACCGTATTTATTTTCATCTTTATTTCTCCTAAAGATTCTAAGCCAAGTTATCACTTTGCCTAAGAGCTCTTCTAGGGAAATAAATTAAAAACACATCCAGAGGCATAATAAATAAGAAACTTCATCTTTTCCAGCTATTTCAGGCTTCCAAAGTACGCTATTTATTCTAAAAAACTGTCCTTTATTGAAATACTAAGCATATTCTGCTGTCTCTGAGATAGACAAAATTCCTACTTGTAGTTTTAGGAAAAAATTTTCTACTCATTCTACGGTTTCTACTCATTTAGTTAAAAAATATTTATTAAGCATTTACTAAATAAATTCTAAATACTGTAAGGGATAAGTATAATACCAAAAACTAGGTGTTTACCCTAAGGAAGTTCTCATCACCCTAAGGAATTTATAGTAGGAATAATATATAGAAATATAAAAAATATTTCTTCGTCCTTGGCAGGACAGTGGGAGATATAAAAATAGTAAAAGAAGGCTCATCCATTTCGGGAGCTTTAAAATCTAGGGTGTGACACATATTGTGAGTACAAACATATTTCTCTGCTACTGCAAAAGAGGGAAACTGTCATGTCTAGCTTCAAGATGGATCTGTGAGCTGAACTGAATCTCGAAGTGCAGGTGGGATTTTGAAAGGTAGGGGGTAGAGAGAACATTATCAGTGATGGTGAAGAATGAGCAAAGATCCAGAAACAGGCAACAAACCACAGTTTGGTTTAGCTGCAACTTGGTGTACCTGGGAGAGAAATTTGAGATAAAAAGAAAGATAGGTTACTGTTAAGTCCTAGAAGGCTTTGAATGCAACATAACGAGCTTATTTGGCATATAGTGGGAATGGTTGAAAGCTTGGGAGAAGGCAGAATGATAATTTTCCCAACTGGGGCTTTAGGAAGATTAATCCACTTGGTGTCATTCAAAGAGACAGATATATGGAAGGAAGAAAACCGGATAGAAGACCACTGTACTCATTCAAAGAAAACATTCTGATACCACATTCATTAAATCTAGGAAGCATCTTTGCTTACTAAAGCCATGTGATTTACAAATGAGCGGGCCGTATTACCTGGCTTTGATGGTAACCCAATTTTTTTTCTCACCTTGCCAGGACAAACAAAAGATTGATGTCTGCATGTGAGCAATAGGGGGCCCATTATTTCTGATGCTTATTTTGAAAAACTTCCAATCCGGCCTCCCATAACTAAGGCTTTCTCTCCATTTCAGCGTCTCATCCAGCTTTTTTTTAAAAAAGTTATATTCAGTAGGCTTTAAAGTCAATCTTGATATTTTCCACTGTTATGGTTTAAAACCCTAAATAGATTACACTGACAATACTGACAAATTTAATCTTCCTCATATATAACTTGAGGATAAAAGGTCAAAAAGGAAACATGTTTCTCTCCTCTCCTACAGATAAAAATGCAAATAGCTAGTTTCCTTTGAAGTTTGTAAATACAGCATGTATTCTGTGTTCTTGTATAGCATTAAGTAGGCCACTGTGATACAGTAAAAGTTAACTCTTCAAAGTCTCTGCCTGGCTGAGAAAAAGGGCTGTTTTCTTCTAACATAGATTTCATGACTATGATAAAATCAATTCTGTGACAGTGTGTTCTTTGCTTTATAAGGAGTACAATTCCTAAAGCAACTATTTTGGACAGATTCTTTCACCTTTTATTTAGATAATAAAATAAAAGTCTCAGGGATCGCCTTCTTAGCAGACACTGTGCTTGGCCCCCAGAAAGTGATCCAGACAGTCTGCAGGCTCAGAGACTCATCATCTAGGGGAAAGGACAATACCAGGTTCTGGGACTTAGCACAGAAGTGGGTGGGAAGGACAGAGAAGGGATTTGGAGCCCAATGCTGAGGAACCTTCAATGGCCCCAAGAAGGAGGCAGAACAGAAAAAAAAATGGTGATGGGGCAACAAGGCAATAAGCAGCTTCTATGTATTCAGCATGGGGTCTGTGCCGGGCCTTGCAGGGAATGTGGCCCTGTTTAAGACCTGGAGTTGAAAGAGCACTACAGGGTATCCTGGAAACCCTCCTCCAAACCTTTGTCAAGCTATCACATTCCTTAAGCCCCCCATTGCAGAGTTTCAGGGACAGTATCTTGAAATTATATCAAAAAACAGATTATGGGCAATACAGAACATGGTGAGAGAAGGTGAGATAAAGTCCAATGATAGGACTTCTATTTTCCCTGCAGCCAGATTCCTCAGGCTGATCCCTCAGGCTGGTCCCTCAGGCTGATTCCTCAGGCTGATCCCTCAGGCTGGTCCCTCAGGCTGATCCCTCAGGCTGATCCCTCAGGCTGGTCCCTCAGGCTGATTCCTCAGGCTGATCCCTCAGGCTGCTTCCTCAGGCTCCTTCCTCAGGCTGCTTCCTCAGGCTGCTTCCTCAAGGCTGA
Organism: Homo sapiens; assembly: GCF_000001405.40. Lineage (NCBI taxonomy): Eukaryota > Metazoa > Chordata > Mammalia > Primates > Hominidae > Homo > Homo sapiens. The sequence continues at coordinate 161,943,952 of NC_000006.12, read as the reverse complement.
TCCCTCAGGCTGCTTCCTCAGGCTGCTTCCTCAAGGCTGATCCCTCAGGCTGCATCCTCAGGCCAATCCCTCAGGCTGCTTCCTCAGGCTGCTTCCTCAGGCTGATCCCTCAGGCTGATCCTTCAGGCTGATTCCTCAGGCTGCTTCCTCAAGGCTGATCCCTCAGGGTGTTTCCTTAGGCTGATCCCTCAGGCTGCTTCCTCAGGTTGATCCCTCAGGGTATTTCCTCAGGCTGATCCCTCAGGCTGATCCCTCAGGGTATTTCCTCAGGCTGATGCCTCACCTGATTCCTCAAGGCTGATCCCTCAGGGTATTTCCTCAGGCTGATCCCTCAGGCTGCTTCCTTAGAGGCTGCTGGGAAAATGCAAATCATATCATTTGACTTTATTTCAGGATTTCCACATTCACTTACCAAAAACTTCTTTAAAGCATAAAATAATCATTTGTGAAAATAGCATTAAACTGTTATATTCCTTCAAAATATACATACTATCCACATATTACATTTCATGTCTAAAAGATACTTACTCGTGCATTTATAAAAAATGAATTAGATAAAGTTAAAATAAATGACAAATAATATCATTGTTCTCTTCTAACCCAGTGCTTGGCACAGAGTGTATTGATAGCATTTGATGAATGACATGAAATAGAATTTTGTGGTTTGTTAATTTTTTTTGTCTTATTTGACAGAATTATTTTCAGCTTCGCGTCAACTTCATAAAGAAGGCAAGATGTTGGGAGGAGAATTGTAATATGTCTATAATAGGCTGATGGACAGTGGATTTAATGGAAAATCTTCAAGTTCACTATTGAGGTTAATAAGCCTAAAATATCTTAAAACTAAATTAAGACACTTTCTGCCTTAAGAAGGCATCTTTAAAAAAGTTTGATATCATTTTAGCTGACTCTAGAAGTAAGTAGCAGTTCTTTTGCAAAAAGTGCCATTTGCAACCCAGATAAGAATAAAGATTTCTTTCTTCACTGCATGTGTCTTTAGAAGAAAACCATCTTCCCTAATCATCATCTTTGCAAATGTCTATTTTAAATTTTTTGCCTCAAAATATCTCCTGTTGGATACTCCAGCTATTTTCTCTTTTTGCCTACTCTTAAAGGGGTATATGCTGTATTTTTTATTACAGATCTCTGATATAATTTTTTTCTGTCAAATGTTAGATTGTGGTTCCAACCTTAACGTTTCCAAATAAATGATATGAACAGTCTTCTCCCATTTACTCTGTTGATGTAAAGGTGTTCATATTTCTTGGTCAAATCTCTTGAGTTTTTTCATTTCAGGTAGGTATAATGGGAGCAATTTGCAATTCCAATGTCATGCACTGTATTTGAATTGGAACAAAAGGAAGTATCCAACAACAAAATCTTGCTGAGTGGAATTATTTTATTTTATTTATTTATTTTTTTGAGATGGAGTCTCGCTCTGTCGCCCAAGCTGGAATACAATGGCGCGATCTCAGTTCACTGCAACCTCCGCCTCCTGGGTTCAAGCGATTCTCCTGCCTCAACCTCCCGAGTAGCTGGAATTACAGGCATCCACCACCACGCCCAGCTAATTTTTGTATTTTTAGTAAAGACAGGGTTTCACCATGTTGGCCAGGCTGATCTCAAACTCCTGATCTCAGGCGATCCACCTGCCTCGGCCTCCCAAAGTGCTGGGATTGAGAGTGAGCCACCGCGCCCAGCCTGAGTGGAGTAATTTTAAATGCCTTTAGTTCCAATGAGTTGTTTTGGTGAGTAAAATGCCCAGCCTTTCCCCAGAGGCCCCTGTGGTTGTACCACTGAAGTAAAATGTTCTGCAATTTTAATGACTGCCAGTGTGCTTTAGTAAATTTGGTAGCTCGAGGGCCATATTTCAGGTTGTCTGTAATTTATAGGAATGTAAATCTTTGTTTTCTTCTCTGTTCATGCAAGAACCCACTTATGCTTTTGGGAGATATTATTTTTATAAGCAAAAAGTTTTAACTGAAAACTTGGACCAAAATTAAAACACCCACCTCCTGCTTCATTAATAACGTATTTCTATTTTACCCTAAAATTGTACACTCACCCTTTTTTCACATGATCTTTCCTCTATGATCCATCTCTTTATTATGGTCTCCAGCAATATTTATAACCAGGTATTGAAACAGGAAGTTTCCTTGTCCTCCTCCCAGGGCATGTCATGGGGGCGTGGCTCACTTCTTTAGTGCCCGGCTGCTCTAGGGGAGCATACAGACAGGGCTGTTGGAGCCCCACAGCAGTGTCTAGGGGTGAATGTTTACAGCTCCTGAAACCCCAGTGGGCATGTGTTACAGGGTGCTCTTTTAGTTTAGCCATCTGTAGACAGCTTGTGTTAGCTCAATTAGACCCCTGCCTTATCACAAAGACAGAGGACTTTCTCTATCCCAGGGTTCTGGCCTTTGTGTACCAGAAGAATCGGATCACAAGTGGCCTTGGAGAATGAGAGTGAGGTTTTATTGAGTAGCTCTCAGCAGCTGGGGGAGCCAGAAGAGAGATAGTTTTCACCTGGAGTCGGGCTGCTCAGCAGCCTGGGATCTCCTCCAACTGCCTCAGCCACACTCCACATCGTTCTGCCAGTCAGTGGCCAACATGCTGGTGGCTGTTGGTGTGTTCCTGTAGACATCCAGCCCCCGGTGTGTTCCTCTGCTGATGTGCTCCTCTCAACGTCCAGCCGCCTGTGTCTGCCTGCTAGGCTCTCAGGGTTTTTATAGGCACAGGATGGGGATGTGGAAGGCCAGGGTGGTCTTGGGAAATGCCAACATTGGGGCAGGAAAATGAAAATAATTGTCCACACCTAGGTCCCTGGGCACAGGCCCAAGAGTGGAGCCCTAGGCAGGGACCATGCCCTCCTCTACCCAGCACTTCCCTTCCCCACCTTCCATATTGGTTAAAGCGACCATGCCATTCCCTTCCCAGCACTTCCATATCAGTATGGCCTCTTTCAATTCTGTCCTGTCAGTAATAATATTCTGTGTCCAAAGCAGTTAGTACTGATGAATTTCATGGTGTGTGCGGGGAGAACCTAATGCATTAGGAGACCACAAACACCAAGTGAGGTTTGCTATTAGTTCCAGCTCTAAGAGGCTGTGGTCAGCATCACAGAGACTGGAAATGGGTGGTCCTGCATTGTAGATTGTGCGCCTGCAGGGAGCCTGAATGTACCTTCTTCCCTTGCCACATGCCACATAGACATTCTGATTTCTGAACAGTCACTTTCCGGCTCTTCTTTTTCAGGATCTGAAATAATCATTAACTTATGGTCATGAACTAAGTTGGATTATTCTCTTATCAGTGTGTCTGGAACAAAGGAGTATAGACTGGCTAGGGATCTGAGGAATGAAAAATACATATGTTATCAAGAACCTTTATGTCCTCTGGTTCTAAAACTCTCAACCAATGCTCAGTGTTTTTTAAATAAATGCAAATTTTCTCTCTGGTATTTTGCCCCATTTTTATTTTGAAAATTTTCAACTTCAAGAGAAGTTGAGAGACATCAACATTATATCAACATTGAGCAGCCATGGAGGCACCACCTTGCTGGCACCAGCCATTAACAGGTGGTCTCAATGGCTCTGTCCTCTTTCTTTTCCTTTGTGCTCATACACAAAGACACACTTTCTTTTTTCTTTTTCTTTTCTTTTCTTTTTTTTTTTGCTATATTTTTTGAACATGATTTGCAAATTTTGTGATACTAGACACCTCAATACTTCAGCAAGCATGGCCTAAGAATAACTCCATTGGCCAGGTGTGGTGGCTCACGCCTATAATCCCAGCACTTTGGGATGCCAAGGTGGGTGGATCACCTGAAGTCAGGAGTTTGAGACCAGCCTGACCAACATGGAGAAACCCCGTCTCTACTAAAAATGCAAAATTAGCCGGGCATGGTGGCACATGACTTAATCTCAGCTACTTGGGAGATGGTGGCAGAGAATTGTTTGAACCCGGGAGACAGAGGTTGCGGTGAGCCGAGATGGCGCCATCGCACTCCAGCCTGGGCAACAAGAGCGAAACTCTGTCTCAAAAAAAAAAAGAGAATAACTCCATTATTTAGTACCAATTTTACCCCTAAGAAAACTGTTTATTAATTTTTTAAAATAAAAAAATTACTTAGTAATTTTATCTAAAATATAAACCATGTTAAAATTTCCCATTTCTTTTGAAATTGTTTTTAACATCTGCCTTTTTTTCTTTTATTTTTTTCTGAGATGAGGTTTTGCTCCTGTCACCCAGGCTGGAGTGCAATGACACGATCTCATCTCGTTGCAACCTCCGCCTCCTGAGTTCAAATGATTCTCCTGCCTCAGCCTCCCGAGTAGCTGGGATTACAGGAACCCACCACCACACCCGACTAATTTTTGTATTTTTGGTAGAGATGGGGTTTCACCATATTGGCCAGGCTGGTCTTGAACTCCCGACCTTAAGTGAGCTGCCTGCCTCGGCCTCCCAAAGTGCTGGGATTACAAGTGTGAGCCACCATGCCCGACGACGGTATTTTTTTTTTTTTTTTTTTTTTTTTGAGACAGAGTCTCTCTCTGTCACCCAGGCCTGGAGTGCAGTGGAACGATCTCAGCTCACTGCAACCTCCACCGCCCAGGCTCAAGTGATTCTCCTGCCTCAGTCTCCATAGTAGCTGAGATTATGGGCATGCACCACCACATCCGGCCATTTTTTGTACTTTTAGTAGAGACAGGGTTTCACCATGTTGGCCATGCTGGTCTGGAATTACTGGCCTCAGGTGATCCTCCCGCCTCAGCCTCCCAAAATGCTGGGATTACAGGCATTAGCCACTGTGCCTGGCCTCATTATTTTTTCTATCCAGCTTCTGAGCAGTCCTGGATTGAAGTTGGTTGATATTCTTAGTTTTTCCTTTTCAAAATCAAGAACAATCCCCTAATATTGATTTCTTTAAATTGTTAAAAGTATAATTTTTTAAAACAAAGTCATGACTCTCAGGCAAATATAAATGAACACATCAAAGATTTTATTTAAATTTTGAGGAAACTAGTCAGATGTTAAAAACCAGTTCAAAGGAATTGCAAAGGGAAGTCATCTCTAGGCAATCACAAATGCTGAAACGTATCTGACAATAAATGCAAAGTGGTTTTTGTTGAGGAGGAAAGAATCACTCACATTTCTAAAACATAGACAAAATCTATTTGTGTCTCTACAGACACAAATAATTTGCATTAATTTTAAAGTTATACAGTGGCTCAAACACTGTAAGTGGCACATACCCATAAATCAGATGACAGGATTGGCATTTCATAACACACCCACTCATCTTGTTTCTTTCGTTTCAACGTCCTTCAAAATTTCTTCTTACTTTCTATCCCAATTTATGATTATAATAATCTCAAAATTTAATAATCACAAAAAATATTGGACTCATTTGTTTGGGCCTAATTAGTTATATGGTGGTGGTAGGACTGTTAATTTACTATATAGGCCTCCTTGACTTTACTTCTTCCATCTAGAACCATACAATGTAACTACTAAAACCACAAATGTTTTTATAAGGAATTTCAAATTGTGTTTTAAAATTGCTCTTATTTATTATTCTGTGACTATAAAACTAAGCTCAAGGCTGTCTTTACTAGGTTATACCTGTATAACATGTAAATTTGGGTAAACTCTCTTGAAGTCCTGAAAATGTATTAATGCTTCTAATGTGCCAGGATTTTACCTGTCTTCCCATCTGTATCGCTGGAGCCTGGTAAGCCAGTTTCCCTGAGAGTGTTCTGTGGACCCATGCAAAATCAACAGTTGTTCCTTAAGAGCAGAATGTCAGATCTGATGAAATAAGAACCATTCTCAAATGTGATGCTTTATATTGACCTAGATTGCCCAATTTATTTTATATTGACCTAGGTTGCCCAATTTATTTTATATTGACCTAGGTTGTCCAATTATTTTTCTGGTAAAAAGTAGGACAGATTTTTACTGATTTCTGTGCAGACTATTACATTGCCATGAAAAGTAATGAAATTTAGGAAGAATGTATGAAATCTGGAGTGTCAGTAAAAATCAGGGATCATTTAGAAATGTTTCGTTTGATTGTAGAAAAGTGGAGTCTACTAGATTCTTGTACATGATAGAAAGTTTAAGAAGAAAGACAAAAGGCTTTGTCATATATCTAGAAAATGGAATATTACAACAACATCATGCAAACAAACAAACAAAACAGAGTTTTCCTCATCAGCTCATTCAGTCCTAAATAATTAATTCTTCTCCTGCTGGATCTTAGATTAATAATCTGATTTCACTAAAAAGAGTTCTAGAAATCGTAACATAGTCCACTGATATATCTGAAAGTTGTCTAAGCATTCTCAGCTCAGAAACCCATGCCCAGGAGATAACTGTTTGAAATGTCAGTAGTTCAGAGCGCTTTTCCAAAAATCTCTGAAACTGTCTTTTGTTGAAGACACAAGCTGTGGTCTGTACCTTAAAGCAAAGCCTTAGAAAAGCATCAGAGTGAAACAAGTGACTATAGATGATAAAGACTTAAAAGCTGTTGTTAAATTACTGCTGCGACCAATACTTTCAGTTTGGAGAATAAAATTTTCTGTTGTATATGAGTTGATATCAGTGTTTCTCCTGATAGTAAGAACATGTAAGCATACTTCAAAATGTTTGTGGAAAAAAAATGGAATTAAAAGATGAAAAATGTAACTTTATTTCTCAACATAATCTCTGTCAAGATCCAGACACTTTTGTAAGTGATGATAGCAGCCGTTTAGTCCATCCCCAAGGAACTGAGGCTGCTGGCATTTAACCACATCAGTACATTCTTTTTTACAGTATTGACTGAAGATAAATGGGGACCCTTTACACACTTTTTAAATTTAGGACAGCTGGGTGTGGTGGCTCATGCCTGTAATCCCAGCACTTTGGGAGGCCAAGGCATGCAGATTACTTGAGGTCAGGAGTTCATGACCAACCTGGCCAGCATGGTGAAACCCTGTCTCTACTAAAAATACAAAAATTAGCTGGGCATGATGGTGAGCGCCCATAATCCCAGCTACTTGGGAGGCTGAGGCAGGATAATCAGTTGCACCCGGGAGGTGGAGGTTTCAGTGAGCCAAGATCACGCTACTGCACTTCAGCCTGGGTGACAGAGCAAGACTCTGTCTCAAAAAAAAAAAAAAATATGAAACAAAAATAAGTCAGAAGGAGCCAAATTAGGATTGTAAAGTGGATGCCTAATAATTTCTCATTGAAACTTGCATATTTGCCCTTCCTCAATGAGAAGAGTTATCAGAGCTTTCTCGTGGTGCAGGAGGAGTCTCTGGTGGAGCTTTCCTGGGCATGTTTCTGCTAAAGCTTTGGCTTTCTCAAAACACTCTCATAATAAGCAGACGTTTTCTTTATTTGGCCCTCCATAAAGTCAACAGGCAAAAATGCCTTGAGCCTCCCAAAAACTGTTACCAGCCGGGCATGGTGACTCACGCCTGTAATCCCAGCACTTTGGGAGGCAAAGGCAGGTGGATCACGAGGTCAGGAGATGGAGACCATCCTGGCTAACACAATGAAACCCTGTCTCTACTAAAAATACAAAAAAGTAGCCAGGTGTTGTGGCATGCGCCTGTAGTCCCCAGCTGCTTGGGAGACTGAGGCAGAAGAATCGCTTGAACCCAGGAGGTGGTGGTGCAATGAGCCGAGATCACACCACTGCACTCCAGCCTGGGTGACAGAGCGAGACTCTGTCTCAAAAAAAAAAAAAAAAAATGTTGCCATGACCTTTGTTCTTCATCAGTTTGCCTTTGCCTGACGACCACTTCCACCTTTTGGTAGCCATTGCTTTGGTTGTGCTTTGTCTTCAGGATTGTACTGGTAAAGCTGTGTTTCATCTCCTGTTATAATTCTTCAAAGAAATACTTCAGGATGTTGATCTCATTTGTTTAAAATTTCCATTGAAAGCTCCACTTTTGTCACTAATCTAGGCACAAGAGTTTTGTTACCCCTCAAGAGGAAAGCTTGCTCAACTTTAATTTTTCACTCAGAATTGTGTAAATTACACCAACTGAGAAGTCTATGGCATTGGCTATTGTTTGTGCTGTTAGTCATTGTTCCTCTTCAGTTAGGGTACAAACAGGATGAATTTTTCACCTGTGAATCGATGTGGATGGTCTATTGCTGCAGGCTTCCTCTTCAACATCATCTCATCCCTTCTAAACAGGAGTTATCAATTTGTAAACTGCTCATTTCTTTGGGGCATTGTCGTTATAAAATTTTCAAGAAACATCAGTGATTTCACTATTTTTTCACCTAAGTTTCACTGTAAGTTGCTTGGATTTTAGCAGAATTCATGTTGCTCTGATAGGGACTCTTTTCATACTCACGTCTTATCCTTCTTCTTCTTCTTCTTTTTTTTTTTTTTTTTGGAAACAAGGTCTTGCTCTGTTGCCCAAGCTGCAGTGCAGTAGCATGATCTCAGCTCACTGCAGCCTCAACTTCCCCGGCTTAAGCAATCCTCCCACCTCAGCCTCCCTAGTAGCTGGGATTACAGGTACATACCACCACACCTGGGTAATTTTTTGTATTTTTAGTAGAGATGGAGTTTCACCATGTTGCCAAGGCTGATCTCAAACTCCTGGGCTGAAGCAATTCACCCTCCTTGGCCTCCAAAGTGTTGGGATTACAGGTGTGAGCAACCAACCACACCTGACCATCTTATCCTCTTTAGTGCCTCAAACTGGATCCTACTCAGACACATTGTAACAAATTAGTATGAGTTTATTTTGGCACAAAAATTGGAATCCATGCGTAGTTTTTCTATAATATGCATTTTCTGTGAACTTTTGAAGTTTCCTCATATGGTGGGCAGAAAGGGCACCAGAGACTTTCCATAAAGCATACAATTTCTGAAATGTTTATAGTAATAAGATTTTGCAAACTTAACCTAGAGGAGGCTAGTGTTTCTTCAGATCTGAAAATTCTTCCTGTGCAACTCTTAAAATAACACATTAGACAGACCTAATTATTTCTAGCATCTATTTATAAGTTGAAAGAACAAGCTTTGGTGATTTTCCAGGGCCATTTGGGAGATCTCAAAGTTAGTTTTAGGGAGAAAAAAACATCCTGAAACTTCTATTTTTTATCTAAATTTGGGGTTCAATGTTGGGAAGTTAAAATTAATAATTGTCAGAGGAGATTGTTTTACTAGATTAATACAGGATCGTGAATAAGTGAGGGGAAAAAACCTGTCTCTCAAAGTAACAACATATATTTAAAATACAAGCATAAAACATAGAGGATAAAGACAATTGTAAAGAATCTTAGCTCTTCCTTAAGTGAGGCAACATTTTTTGCCCTTAAATAATCAAGGGCATAATAAAGTCATCTAAAATCACAGAAAACTATTCTGATGAGACACAGAATCTCTGCTCTGTAGGCAGATTAGACAGAAGGCAGAGGAATTTGCTTTCACTGGACATTTTTTCATATTGTGGGTCAAGGCCTAATCAGTAAACCAATGAAGCAAACCCATTGAAGTTAAGTAATTTTTGCTAAAATTTTGATGTTGATGTATCTTTGTAGTTTCTTTTTAGATATATGTAGGCATTTGTATTAATCCATTCTCACACTGCTATAAAAATACTACCTAAGACTGGGTAATTCATAAAAGAAAGAGGTTTAATTGACTCACAGTTCCACATGTCTGGGGATGCCTCAAGAAAATGACAATCATGATGGAAGGCAAAAGGGAGGCAGGCATCTTCTTCACAAAGCGACAGGAGAGAGAAGTGCTGAGGGAAAGGGGAAGAGCCTCTTATAAAACCATCAGATCTCCTGAAAACTGGCTCATTATCATGAGAACTTCATGGCGAAGCGCCCCCGTGATTCAATTACCTCTTCCTGGTCTCTCTCGTTACCTGGGGATTATGGGGATTACAGGGATTACAATTCAAGGTGAGATTTGGGCAGGGATACAAAGCCTAACCATATCAGCATTATAAACCAACACAAGTCCAATTCACTCTCCAAGTGGTGTACTTCATTTGCACTGTAGGACAGACAGACGCTTTAGGACAAAGTGTGGTCCAAAGACTTCTGGGGTTCCCTGAAATGTTTTCAGGGGAACTGTGAGCTTCATTTACATTGTAGGACAGACAGAAACTTTAGGACAAAGTGTGGTCTGAAGACTTCTGGGGTTCCCTGAAATGTCTGCAGGGGAACTGTGAGCTTCATTTACATTGTAGGACAGACAGACACTTTAGGACAAAGTGTGGTCTGAAGACTTCTGGGGTTCCCTGAAATGTCTGCAGGGGAACTGTGAGCTTCATTTACATTGTAGGACAGACAGACACTTTAGGACAAAGTGTGGTCTGAAGACTTCTGGGGTTCCCTGAAATGTTTGCAGGGGAACTGTGACACCAAAGTTATTTTCATAACAATACTAAGCTACGGAGTTTTTCAGAGGCTATATGACCAGAAGAGATTAAATGGAGAAGCAGACTTGAAAACCCATCAGTTGTCTATTAAGCCAAACATTCAGGATATTTTTGTAAAAATGTTCAAGGTTGTCATTTTTCTCATACAAATTTTCTTTAAGAAAATGTTATTTACATTATTATCTAATGGAGTCAACATTGTTATTTCCCAATACATTAATAAATATATATTTTATTTTCTCAGTTTTGTTTTTGTTTTTGTTTTGAAACGGAGTCTCGCTCTGTCACCCAGGCTGGAGTGCAGTGGCTGATCTCAGCTTATTGCTGCCTCTGCCTCCCAGGTTCAAGCAATTCTCCTGCCTCAGCCTTCCAAGTAGCTGGGATTACAGATGTGCATCACCACACCTAGCTAACTTTTTTATTTTTAGTAGAGATGGGCTTTCACCATGTTAGCCAGGCTGGTCTCGAACTCCTGACATCAGGTGATCCGCCTGCCTCCGCCTCCCAAAGTGACGGGATTACAGGCGTGAGCCATCACACCCGGCTGGTTTTAGTGATTTAAAACATCAAATATTGATACTTATAACCCACATTATAAACTACAGAAACAAAACATCTTTAGATTCCTGAGTAATTTTTAAGAATCTACTGGATGGAGAGAAAAGATGTTGAGAACTGCTGCTTTATTCAAAAACCAGTCTTTGTTCTTGAAAAAAAAAAGCATAAATATGTTTTTCTTTTTCTCTCACTCTTTCTGCTAGTATAGTTGTAACCATCTATATAACTATAATTGCTATTTCAGCAAGATACTTGACAGATAATTGAGATTGTGTGTTGTACATAAGCATTCTAGCTGACTAGCAGAAGTCAGAGACACATAAAACATAATTTTTTTATAGCTACACACATCCTTTTTTCGCTTTGCAAAGTGGCAAAAATGAAAATGGTCATTAACATAAGCTAAAGATTTGGCTTCCCTCGAGCATGTAAAAATAAAAATAAAAGTATACAAACTTAAAATTATGCTTAGTAGTTAATGTTTCAGTATTCTTTTTATCTTACTTTGAAATTTTCTGAGTATCAAATGATTTTCAATTAATTTAATATTACTTCAAGGTTTTAACTTGCCTAAAGATCTTGGAAAGCATTTTTAAGGTGATATTCTGGAAAACATAATTATAGTTGATATAAAAATATAAATATTCAATGAACAAAAATTTATATTTTTTATGATCTTAAACATTATGTGGGAGGAAGCATATTTGAACTGTTTCGGAAACATAACCCAACATAAAACAATATGTATGTTTGCTTTTTAATTAACACGATACATCAGAGAAAAGACAACTGTGTTTTTTTCACATTGCCAAGATTAATCTTAATTATGTTAACTGAGATTTTTTTAAATATTTCTGAATTTTTTATAATAAAAATATTTTAATCTAACATATTTAAAGGATTAGAAGTTTATTTTCTGTGAACTTTAGCATTAAAAAACATTTTTAGGCTTTTTAAAGTAGTCACATATGGTTGATGATTTTCACTAAAGCATTCACTTAAGTTCCTGCTAAACTCCATGATAGCATTGCCTTCGATGGATGAATTGTTTTCTTCTCCTCTACAATCTCCTAATCGGTAAGAAATTAAATCATTTTATTCTCTTGAAATCACAGTTTTGTGCTAAATTCTCCTCCAACATTTTATCATAATATATTTTGATAACCATAGTTAAAATCTTTCTGCTTTCCATAGGGGAAAGTACAAATAATCCATAAGTAGTCTTCATCATCAATACTTATAATCTATTATTAAATATTTTGTGTGCTTTTAAAACTCAGAGAAACCCTTTGCTTTCTTTCAGAATGGTGTTTGTTCTCATGCCATTATTAAAATAGGTGCCCCTGTCTTTCTCAGGACAATTTTTGTTGGTCAGTGCCTCAGCCCATTTTGTGTCACTATAACAGAATACCGCAGACTGGGTAATTGATAAAGAAATCTACTTTTTACAATTTTGGAGGCTGGGAAGTTCAATATCAAGGGATAGATATAGATGCAAATTCACCTTCCAGTACCTTCTTGGAACTTCACACAATGCCTCTGGGGGTGCTGGGTGCCATGTCTACTGGACTGGAGGCTGGAGTGCAGTGGTGTGATCTCTGCTCACTGCAACCTCTACCTCCCAGGTTCAAGCAATTCTCTTGCCTCAGCCTCCCAAGTAGCTGGGACTACAGACACATACCACCATGCCCAGCTAATTTTTTTGTATTTTTAGTAGAGACAGGGTTTCGCCATGTTGACTAGGCTGGCCTCAAACTCCTAACCTCAAATGATCCACCCACCTCGGCCTCCCAAAGTGCTGGGATTACAGGCGTGAGCCACCACGCCCAGCCGCCGTGTCTACTTTGACCTCCCACATCCATGAGTTCATTCATTCGTTCATTCAAAAACAACCTATTATATATATTTTTTCAGCTGCTATAACCAATTACCACAAATGTAGTGGCTAAAAATAACACATGTATATTATCTTCAAGTTTTGTAGGTCAGAAGTCCTAAAAATCAAGGTGTTGGCAGAGTTACGTTCCTTCTGGAAGCTCTCAGGGAGAGTCCATTTCCTTGTGCTTTCCAGGTTCTGGAGGTGCTGCCATTCCTGGGCCCATGGCCCCTTTCATCCTCATGGCCAACAGTAGCCGGTGGACTCTTTCTTGTGTCACTCTGACACTGACTATCCTGCCTTCCCCTTCTACCTTTTAAGGATCCTGTGATTATATTGCTACTACCTAAGTGATTCAGGATCCTCATCATATCTGAAGATCAGCTGATTATTATCTACAACTTTGATTTCCCCTTGCCATGTAAAGTAACATATTCCTATTTGCAGGGTTTTTGAATTTGGACATAGACATCATTGGGAGCCATTATTCTGCCTACCACAATGATTCAGTGTCAGGATTATTCAGCAATACATATGAGTTTCTACAATGGGCAAGAACATTTAGTATTACAACGAGGTACTCAGCCATGTAGGTGAAGAGTGAAATGCTATATTCTACTGAGAACTGTTGCATTTAAGTAGATTACTAAATTGTGTAAACCTGTGATCCATGATGACTTGTTTCGTCCCCAGACAATGTTTGAAGAACAATCTTCTCATTTTTGTCTGCACATCATACATCACTCCTAATGTATTGCTCCCAGTGCTTTCTGGACACTATTTATTATTGTATCTATTATATACAAGATGAAATCACAATTTGTTTCATTTCATAAAATATTAACTTATAAATTTTTTTAGGTTAGAAGATAATGTAGCAATCATTCATCCATCTGGCCTGATTTCACTCACATCTATGGATAAATAAACAGACACCAAGATGTCAGGTTGTGAACTCCTTAGTTCACCTAGTTCTTCCTTGAGCTGGGACTGGAACCCAGGCTGTCTGAACCCCAGTATGGCTCATTGTTTTATTTCTGTCCAAGAGAGAATGCTGGCTTCAGGTAAATTCAGTGGCATTGCCAACAGGTAAATTCAGTGGCATTGCCAACAATTTTCCATTTTACTGAAAATGCAGTCTGTGCAAGGCAAAGGGAACACCTTCCTTGTTTATTCAATTATGAAAACAAGGAATCCCATTATTTCCTTTGCCTTATGCATTCATGGGTTGCAGACATTATTCTTGGGCTTCATAATTTTAGGAAGTGTTTTGAGCCTTTTAAAAAAATTGACGTGAGACCAGGCATGGTGGCTCATGCCTATGTCACAGCACTTTGGGAGGGTGAGGCAGGTAGATCATTTGTGGTCAGTTCGAGACCAGCCTGGCCAACATGGCAAAACCCCGTTTCTACTAAAAAATTAGCCAGGTGTGGTGGCGTGTGCCTGTAAACCCAGCTACTTGGGAGGCTGAGGCAAGAGAATCACTTGAACCTGGTAAGCAGAGGTTGCAGTAAGCTGAGATCATGCCACTGCACTCCAGCCTGGGCAACAGAGTAAGACTCCGTCTCAAAAAAAAAAAAAAAAAAAAAAAAGAGGTGAAATTCACATAAAACTAAACATTTTAGAATTAACAATCCAGTAGCATTAAGTACCTTTCCCATGCTGTGCAAGCACCACTTCTATCTAGTTTCAAAATATTTTCATCACCCCAAAATAATACTCCATACACATTAAGCAGTTAGTCCATTTCCCTGTCTTCCCAGCCTCTGGCAATCACTAAGCTACTTTCTATCTCTCAGTCTCTGGCAATCACTAAGCTATTTTCCATCTCTATAGTTGTGTCTATTCTGGACATTTCATATAAAAGGAATCGTATTATATAATACTTGTGATTTTGTGTTTTTTTCATTTAGCATAATGTTTATAAGGTTCATCCAGGTTGTCATATATAGAAATCCTTTATTACTTTTTATGGCCAAATAATATTCCATTTATATATATGCCACATTTTGTTTATCCATTCACCTGTTGATTGGCATTTGGAGTACCTCCACCTTCTGGGTATCGTGAATACTGCTGCTGTGAATATATCTATACAAGTGTGGGTTTGAGTCCTCGTTTGTACTTTTTTGGGGTATATACATGGGAGTGGACTTAATGGATTATTTGGTAATTGTGTGTTTAACTTTTTGAGGTGCTTGAGCCTATTCCAATTAGATCCAAGACAAGTTTTTAAGAAATGCTCTCATGAGTCCCCATGTTAACTCCAAAGGCTTAGGGGCAGAAAGATGCTTTGAAAAATCAACAGATTTCAGCCCTGCCACTTGGGACTTATGTGACCTTGATCAAGTTTCTTAACTACACTCTGACCCTCAGTTTATTCCTAGGTGAAAGTTAAAATAAAAACACCTACCTCACTAGGTCAGCTGTTGTAATTCCAGGAAATAATGTGTAAGATACTATACTATGGCGTCTGGCAAATAGTATCTTGTTATATGTTATATATTCTGATGATTGTTATATTTTCTATCTTATCTCACCTCCCACCCTAGTCCATACGGAACCACTTAACTTCTTGTAGGGCTGAAATATATATTCACTTATTTATGACTAAATCCTGTGGAATAAAACCAAGGACTTTATGAAGCTAAGAAATATTAAATCTCCTGCCTCTTCTAATCTACACAGTGAGTCATAAAGGGAATTTACCTGATCGAGTATGATTTGTCTTTCAAAGCTGTGCTTTATTTCCTCCTACAAATCTGTATTTTTAACCATCATAAATTATTTTTCCCTATCTTCCCAAATATTAATAATAAGTGTCATTATCCATTCAGGCTGCCATAACAAAATATCACAATTAAATGGCTTATAAACAACAGATATTTATTTCTGACAGTTTTGAAGGCTGGAAGTCCAAGATCAGGGTGCCAGCAAGGTCAGGCTCTGCTGAGAGCTCTCTTCTGGGTTGCAGACCACTTTCTCCTTATGTCCTTACATAGCAGAAGGCAACTTTCATAAAGACACTAATCCCAATCATGAAGGTTGTATCCTCATGACCTAATCACCTTCCAAAGGCCCCGTCTCCCAGGGGTACCATCATAGTAGGTGTATTTCCTAATATGAATTTGGGGAAGGAACAAATATTTGGTCTACAACAGTAAGCAAACATAAATGTTATCCTTGTTCACTCTTTTCCTTAACAATGATATACAGATTGTTCTAATATTTTTTATGCTTCTTCAGTAACTTTATCTAAAGTTCTTCACTCTAAAATAATTTCATTGAGACATTTACTATGGTACTGTTTATTTTTGTAAAGTTTTTTTTTTTTTTAAACAGAGTTTCACTTTGTTGCCCAGGCTGGAGTGCAGTGGCAGGGTCTTGGCTCACTGCAACTTCCGCCTCCCAAGTTCAAGCAAAGTAATTTTTTAGTAACCACTTAAAAAATTCTAACTACTCTCATTTCCATTAAAGATGAAATTATTGTTTAGATTGATTTCCTAAAATATGTTTCTTTTAAATTTCAGTCGTAAAAATGTCTTTTCTGTTTTAAAACTAATAACATTTCCCTTAGCCATTTTCTAATTCAAATATAATTAAAGTGGACTCTATTATCATCTTTGCTTTTTGTTAACATGACTTTTGATTTTCTTCTATTCTAGTTATAAGTGTAAGTTATTTTACCCTGTAAGTTAATGTAGTGTTTGTATTCCTCTTTACCCCTTATTTATTCTTCAGCATTTTTTCAGCTTAAAAATATGGAGGCCTAATTTTCCTGTATGTAAGACGTAGTGATGTATTCACGGTTTTGATTAAGCTCCTTCGTAGTTCTTCAGACACTTTGCAATCCTCTTCAAAATATATGAGTAAAAGCATGTACATGCAAGTGGGTTTGGAGAATACACAAATTCACTTATAAAAAGATTACTAAGGAAGGAAAATACTGGTTAACAAACTATCATTGGCAAACTAGAAAACAACTCCCATGTGTATGTGTATTTTTTTTTCATTTTAGTGTATAGTATCTTCTCCCACACACACGAAGTATCTAAAACTGTAATTTTCTGCCCACCAGTCATTCTAGAACAGGTATCCTTTAGAATTAAATGTTCTCATTTATCTGAGCCTTGTTTATCAAAATGTAACTTATTGTCTTTTAAAAAGGAGAAGCAAAATTTAGAGGGATTTTCTCTAAAGGCTGAATTTATTTGCCTCTGCTAGAAGATTCCCAGGGTTTGCCACTACTTGCCCTTGTTGTACCACTTCAGAGCTCATTTGAATGTCTTATAGAGAAAGACAGTTATATCTCTCGTAGGCTTGTTGGACTTAGATTCAGTTTCAAAGAACTCTCCTATGTTTTCATTTTAAAATATGCTCTTTCACCTGTTTCTTAGACTGCAACTAGAGTGCAACCAGACCTAAAACTCACTAGATTATATATTCCTCAATTTGCAAATTGCTGCAACAGGGATAAGACGAACATGAAGGTAGCCTTGGTAGAGGTCACCAGGCCCCAGGAATGTGTTGAAAGGGTCGATGTATTAAGAACTCAACTGCTGCAGCCCTCTGAACACACATTTCCCTTATGCATTCATTCTGAAATATTTATTCAGTACTTCATCTTTACAAAGTGCTCCAGGGCTGAAGAGACAGTGTGCGCCAAGCCAGATAAGTTCCCTGTTTTCTTGGAGGGTAAGTCAAGTGAGGGAGATGACCTCAGTCTAATAACCACAACAGACAGATGAAACTGAATCTGCGACTCCCGCTACAAAGGAATCATCACTCAGCTACAGGAATATATAATAGGGAAATTCGCCCAGGTCTTGACCTGCGTATTTAGGTATATAAGTATGAGTCTCTTTTAGGACTACCGAATAGATCATAGCATGTCTCCCTCACCGACTGCCTTTCTACAGGTCAAGAACGAAGTGGCAGTTCCTTGTCATTCTAAGTGTTCACCACTCCCATTTACTTAGAGGTAGACTCTCCGTAACTTTCAAACAGAACAGTTCGTTTTGAAAAGTTCCTAAAATAGATTACAGAACTTACTTCAGCTTCTACTGCACCGTTTACTAGCTGAGTGGTTTAGAGAAAGCTATTTGACCTCTCTCAGCTCCAATGTTCTTAATTTTAAATTGGGAATAATAAATACAAACCTTAAATGAGTCTCGTGGGGAGGAGACGAGACATATAAAGAGTTCAGCACAGTGTCTGGCATGTGGTAAGTGCCTAGTAAAGCATAGTAGCTGCCCTTATTTTCTTCATCATCAACTAGCAAAGAAGGAGGATGTCTTCCATGTTGTTTGTTTGTTTGTTTTATCCCCATTGAATCTCCTAAACATCATTCATATTGTGATTGGATTTAAATCTTGGCAGGGACACTTGACATCTGGGAATAAGTTCAATTGTATCTTTAATGCACTTAGTTACAACTCCATGTAACTGAAAGTTACACTAATGAAGTATAAAATGGATCTTCCTTTAGATATCAGTTTGTATATAAATAGGAGTTTCTAAAGACATTTTTTTTTCTTTTGAGATGGAGTCTCACTCTATCGCCCAGCGTGGAGTGCAGTGGCACGATCTCAGCTCGCTGCAACCTCCACCTCCCGGGCTCAAGCGATTCTCTTACCTCAGCCTCCTGAGTAGCTGGGATCACAGGCGCCCGCCACCACACCCGGCTAATCTTTTGTATTTTTAGTAGAGACGGGATTTCACCCTGTTAGCCAGGATGGTCTCCATCTCCTGACCTCATGATCCGCCTGCCTCTGCCTCCCAAAGTGCTGGGATTACACACCTGAACCACCGCACCTGACCTCTAAAGACATTTTTAAACAACATTTCTATAAAGTCAAAGATGCAATTCTATCATATTGAAAAAGTGTAATTTTATATTAGCCCATCATAAATTGTTTTATATTTGGATTTTGTGGTATTTAAATTTGTATGCATAATCTTTATATAAGGAAAAATTTGGGAAAATTTTCATTCATAAGCCTGTAAAGCATTTTCACTTTAGTCATTCATTAGAATTTTAATATGTTTCCTTCCTCTGGATTCACCAAAAAACAACAACAACAATATTTTTTTCCCAGCAAGTCTTAACATTTGACCTCAACAGTGATGCCAGGTGAATTCTGGGCATGTTCCCAGCCTCCCCACGGGCAGCCGTGGTTCTTGTTTGTGGAGGGACTCTCTCCCCTAGTTTACTCACAGGGTACTTCCACAGTTTACATTTTCACTGAAATAGATTATCTCATCTTCCTGCCTGTTAACTGTGTTTGAAAAGCAAATCGAATGTTGAATTTAATGCTGTGGAGATGGTGAGAAACTGCTCAGAACAATTAATTCCCTCATTTTTTTTAACAGCTTAAAAACTAGCTTGCTTGAAGTTTCACATGGCATGCAAACACTTTCCCTGGGCAGTGGGGAATGGGTGTTGAGCCCCTGAAGAATGAGTCACCTTTTCTGCTCTTAACCTATCTGGACTTCCCCTGAAAAATCAATTGTCAGCCGAGTTTGGGAAAATTATTTCGGCCATTAGACTCTGAAATTCATTCTGAATTCTGAATTACTGAAATTCATTTATAGATTCAGTGAGTAGTTATTAAAATCTTGCTGTGTGTCAGGCACTATGCTGAATACTAGCCTTTCAAAATTGACCAAGTCAGACTTAGTCACTGTGGAAAAGACATTAAACGCAAACTAGGAGGAAACAAATAGAAAATACTTCCAGTAAATTATAGTAGGTCATTTTAATGCAGGGTACCTAAGCACACAGTCTGGGCCATTGGATTCATATTTGAGGATCAGTGAGGCCTTCCTGGAGTGTGTGAGGTTAAAGATGAGGCCCGAGAAGTGATTGGTGATGATGGTAGTGTGATAGGGGCAGTAAGTAGATTTTGAATGCTTACTTTTTCCTAGGTATTCTTTAGCTCTTGACCTAAAATATCTGACTTTAACCCCACAATAAATCCCAGGAGACAGTTTCTTTTTCTAATCCCATTTCACAGACGAGGAATCTGAGCCCCAGAGAGGTTAAGTAACTTCCCCATTGTCCCATAACTACGAAGCGCCAGAGCCTGGATTCAAGTCCAGACACAGAAACAATAGTGAACTCAGCTGAGGAAAGAGAATGGGAAAAATGCTTGAAAGGCAGGGGCTGTGTGTACAAAGCAATGGAGGATAGCAAGGAATGGCCGTTTCTTTCCTAGGCAAAGTACAAAGAGTACCAGGCAGACAGGGAAAGAGGAAGCCAGGTGGGCCACGTTCTGAAGGGTCTCGCAAGTTCCATTCAGAATCTGCACCAGCTGAACTTCGTGATTGTACTGCAGTTACCTAACAGTGTCCTCCTCCTTAGGAGGCACTAAACAATTAGGGGGTAAAGGATCGTGATGTTTGCAAATTACTCTCTAAGAACTCAGACGCTACATAGCAACAATAACAATACAGTTATACATATAGTAATAACTATGTTATATTCATTATATGTAAGTAGAGACAGAAAGAGGAAATCTCACAAAATTGATAACAAGTGGTTAACCTAGGTGAAGAACAGTTTTTTGTACAATTTTAATAACTTTTTATGAGTTTGCAATATTTTGCAAATAAAAAGAAGAGGAGGAGGAATCTACTTTATTTTATTTATTTATTTATTGAGGCAGGGTGTGATCAGAGCTCACTGCAGCCTCCACCTCCCGGGTTCAAGCAATTTTTCCACCTCAGCCTCCCTGGTAGCTGGGACTACAGGCGTGTGCCACCATGCCCAGTTAATTTTTGTATTTTTAGTAGAGACAGGGTTTCACTGTGTTGGCCAGGCTGGTCTCAAACTCCTGACCTCAGGTGATCTGCCCCACTTAGCCTCCCAAAGTGCTGGGATTATAGGCATGAGCCCCGGCACTGGCCCCCAACTGCAGAATCTACTTTATATGTGTGATGGGGATTCACTCAGTGGAGGATTGTATGCTATGGAGTGACCTGAGGAAATGTACACTTGAAGGTGTGGGAAACAAGCTGCTGAGATCAGGAACAGGGAGGCCACATGGGAGGATCCTCCAGCCATGCTGCAAGATGCCTGCCAGCCTGGAGGGAGCTGTGACCTGGTGTCCATAGGTGGCAGCACCAGGACATAACGTCAGCATAGTGAGTCATGGTTTTGTTTAAACTGCAATTGTGAAATATGATCACAGCATAAGAACATGCATTTTTTATGAGTTAATTGAGTCTAATTTTTAATTAGTTAATTGAGTTTGCTATAAAATCCAAGATGTATGAAAATTAAAAACAAAACTCCAACTTCTCCAAAACCTTCTCTTTATTTTTTAGGCTTATGCTGGCTTCTTTATTCTTAGACTCCTGTAATCATTGCCTGTATTTCCAGAATTCAGATCTCATTACAGGTTACATGGTATCCAAACATGAGTAATGCATACTTTGGAACTTTTTAATGGCAACTTAATGCTGACCTATGTTAGTTACTCCATTTCATGTAGGAATTACCTCATGTACTTATATTA
Organism: Homo sapiens; assembly: GCF_000001405.40. NCBI lineage: Eukaryota > Metazoa > Chordata > Mammalia > Primates > Hominidae > Homo > Homo sapiens. The sequence continues at coordinate 161,922,590 of NC_000006.12, read as the reverse complement.
TATCCCCACAAATAATTTATGAAATTCTGGTTCAGCACCTAGGTAATTAAGCAAATTTACTTATATGTATGTGCACGTGTACAAATATAAGTATATATACACACACATATGTATTTCCCCCTTCCCTTAACAGATTTCTAATATGAGAGAAAAAAGTAAACTAATATTTGTTTGCATGCAATGTGAGAAATGATAGACATCCATTTTGCATACCAGGGCAAAACAATGGAACCTCTGAATCAGACTGTAAGTAAGGTGGCTGAAAGTGGGGACACACTGAGGGGTCAGGAAAATATTTTTCAAAACCATAAGACGTAATAGGAATTTTAAAAGACAAGCAGGAAATAGCTAGAACAAGGAAGAGAAGTGAGGCCTTCTGTAGAAGTTGACACTCTGCCAATTTCATCTTCTGCATTTGACAACAGGGGGTTTATTGGAGTCTCTTTTGTTTGAATCCTGAGTGGCAACAAAATGGTAATAATGTATTACTTGCCTTATTGTATGTAACTTAATTTTCTGGGCTTTTTAAACATGAATTGGAATTAGATGCAGGATTCCCTGTTGTTTTTGAGAAATTCAGTCAATGTTTCTCAGATTTAACCAATTGAGGCTGACATCTGCCTTGTAGCATCCCAGAGAATCCACTTTCTCTGGTAATTGAAATGTTGTTCTACAAGAGAGGTTGAAAAGTTCCTTCTATCTGCTTTCACTTCAGTTGTCAGCCTATCCTGTGCTACTTGTGTTCCCACTAAGATTTAGGAGTGGCTCAGAGGATGACGTTCTACCAAATTTCAACACAGTGACTGGCTGGCAAGTTAGTGAACTTCACCATCCTATAGCTACAGGCTACACTGATGATGATTTTCCTTTACGGGTGAAGCAGGAGGTCATTTGAGTGCAGTAAGGTGTTGTATAATGACAATGACACTTCAGTCCATGACAGACACAGGATGGTGGTCCCATACAATTATAGTGGAGCTGAAAAATTCCTATCGCCTAGTGACACTGTAGCTGTTGCAATGTAGTAGCTCAAGGCATTATTCATGTTTGTGGTGGTGCTGGTGTAAACAAAACTGTGCTGCCAGTCATATAAAAGTATAGCACATATGAAGTACAGTACATAATACTTGATAATGGTCATGAATAATTATGTTACTGGTTTATGTATATTGTATACTTTTTATTGCTATTTTAGAGTATACTCCTACTTATAAATAAGTTAACGGTAAAGCAGTCTCAGGCAGGATCTTCAGGAGGATTTCCAGAAGAAGGCATTGTTATAGGAAATGACAGGTCCATGCATGTCATTGCCCCTGAAGACCTTCCAGTGGGACAATATATGGGGGTGGAAGATGGTGATATGGATGATCCTGACCCTGTTAGGCTAATGTGTGTGTCAGTGTCTTAGTTTTCAACAAAAAGTTTAAAAAGTTTTACAAATTTAGAAACAGAAAAAAAGCATATAGAATACAGATATAAAGGAAGAAAATATATTTATATGGCTGTACAATGTGTTTGTGGTTTAAGCTAAGTGTTATTACAAGTGTCAGAGTTTTAAAAATTAAGAAGTGTATAAAGTCAGAAAGTTACAGTAAGCCAAGGTCAGTTTATTATTGAGGAACTTTGTTGTATACATTTAGTGTAACCTAGATGTACAGTGTTCATAACGTCTACAGTGGTATACAATAATGTCCTAGGCCTTCACATTCACTCACTCACTGAATCAGGAGAGCAACTTGGAGTACTGTAAGCTCCATTCACAGTAAGTGTCCTATTCAGGGGTACGTTTCTTTTTTTTTTTTTTTAGACAGTCTCACTCTGTTGCCAGGCTGGAGTGCAGTGGCGCTATCTTGGCTCACTGCAACCTCCGCCTCCTGGGTTCAAGCGATTCTCCTGCCTCAGCCTCCGGAGTAGCTGGGATTACAGGCACACACCACCACACCCAGCTAATTTTTGTATTTTTAGTAGAGACGAGACGGGGTTTCACCATGTTGGCCAGGATGGTCTCAATCTCTTGACTTCGTGATCCACTTCGGCCTCCCAAAGTGCTGGGATTACCGGCATGAGCCACTGCGCCCGGCCCAGGGGTACCATGTTTTTTATCTTTTATACTGTATTTTCACTGTACCTTTTCCATGTTCACATGTGTTTAGATAGACATTGTGCATCTACTTACCATTGTTTTATGGTTTCCTTTTTTATTTTTTCTGGTAGAGTCTTGCTCTGTGGCCCAGGCTGGAGTGCAGTGGCACAATCTTGGCTCACTGCAACCTCCACCTCCTAGGTTCAAGCACGTCTCATGCCTCAGCCTCCCAAGTAGGTGGGATTACAGGTTTGCACAACCACACCCAGCTAATTTTTGTACCTTGAGTAGAGACAGGGTTTCACCATGTTGGCCAGGCTAGTCTCAAACTCCTGACCTTAAGTGATCCGCCTGCCTTAGCACCCCAAAGTGCTGGGATTATAGGCGTGAACCAGCACGCCCAGCCGGTGTTATGGTTTCCAACAGTATTCAGTCCAGTAACATGCTGTACAGGTTTTTAACCCAGCAGCAAAAGGCTCTACCATCCAGTCTAGGTTTGTAGCAGGTGATACCATCTAGGTTTGTGTAAGTATGCTCTGTGATGTCCACACAAAGACCTATTTCTCAGAATGTATCCATGTGGTTAAGCGACTCATGACAGTAATTAAAAACGTATGCTTACTATCTGTCCTAAGGAGGATAGGAATGTGATTTTTCAACTTTACCTGTGTCCCTGTCATCACTTACAAAGCTGTTGAAATGCCATCTGACACAGTTCTTTAATCACATGTAGTAGACCCCTGTACAGTCTCCCCAGCACTTTTCACTGTGAGCATTTGCTCTGTGGCATGTCTTAATACATATTACTGATGGAGTACTGAGGCTCCAGCTGCCCCTTTAAATTGTGAACCTATTTGTATTTCCAGCACTTGCTAAGACTTCACTGGTTTGGGAAGATGACAGTTCATAATGGTAAGATCCTATAACAGGAACAACTGAAACCTTTAACCATCTAGAGCAAGCTATGTTCTTACTGAATTCCAATAACTTTATTGGGGTATAATTTACACATCATGCAAATCCTCCAGGTATATGTCCAGTTCGATCATTTCTAATACACATTTATAATTGGGCAACCAGTTATCACAATCCAGTTTCAGAAAAATAAACCCTAAAAAGTTTTTCGATGCATATTTGAGCCATCCTCACTCCCACCTTCAGCCCTAGGCAAACACTGATCAACTGTCTGCTTATAGAGTTTTGTCTTTTTTTCTAGAAATGTTAGATAAATGGAATCAAATGCTATGTAATCTTTTGTCAGTCTTATTTCCCTCAGCGTAATTTTGAGATTTTTCTCAAAGTTATTGTACGTGAAACTCTTCTTGATGAGCAAAACTCCATTGCAAGGATACGATACCTTTTGTTTATCCATTCACCAGTAGATGGACATTTGCGTTGTTATTGTGAGTTACACTGTGAACATGGCGTAAAACTCTTCGTGTGGATCTGCACTTTCATTTCTCCTCAGTTGGATACCTAGGAGAGGAATTGCTGGCTCTAACAGTCGTGTGCTTAACAGTTTCAGAAATTGCTCGAATGTTTTCAAGTGGCTGCAATATTTTGCATTCCCACCAGCAAAAGGTGGTGGTGGGGAGCGGGGGTGTTGGTTTCTAGTTTCTCTACTTCCTCACCGACACTAGATTTTGTCAACTTGTTCATTATAGACGTTCTCTAATTACTAGTCATATTAAACATCTTATCCATGTGCTTATTAACCCAGTCGTATATCTCGTTAAGTGAAATGTCTATTCAAAGCTTTTGCCTAATTACATGGCATTGTGTTAGTCATGCCGTGCACTGGCTTGTTTTCCCGTGCATAGAAGTTTTGTTTTCCTTCCTTAGAAGAAAAAGAACTCACCCCACTGAGTTCGTTAAGCATTTTGTGGGTACAAAGATAATGCACCATGATTATATAACCTGAGAGGTGTTTGTATACCATGCAGTATTTTGCATAGAAAATGAAATTCTAAATCCGACTTCTGAAATCAAAACCCTGGTGTCCTCCCATTTGGCTCAATCTCTGTTTCATTGTATATATTTGTCGATGACTCATGGTTTGAAAATCACAGACCATAAGCCTCATAAGAGGTAGAGCTGAATCTCTCTTGCAGCTTTTCCATGAGTAACTATTTAGTGTTAATTATGATTAAGACAATAACTCTTTAACAAAGCATAAGTAAGTCAGATTAATCAGCCAGCTTTCACGCACACTCTTCCTGGGTTCTAGAGGGCTTTCGTCAGCAAATTGAAGCAATGACGATGTTCTGCGTGGTACTGTTGTTTCCATGGTAAATATGTGAATTGATTACCCATGAGCCCAGGTCACAATGTACTGTTGTTGTGCTTTATTCCTTATTATGTTAGAAATCCCGCACAGCAGGGGACTGGTATCTACTCCCGGGTCACCTTGGGACTTCTAATATGAAAATTGAAATGAATTCTTTGTTGTTGTAAATTGCAAACAGAAAAACAGTCGCCTGTTTCCACACTTATAAATATGTATGTCCTCCCCACCAATGAAATTATGGTGAAGGATAGATCAAAGTGAATTAGCACCTGTCAAGGAAATATGATAGGTCATTCTGCCCTATAATTTTATTCCCCTTTCTTCCAAGGGTGACATGATCAGCGAAGCCTGCATCTCGCTCTCCTTCACCCATTGTGGTTAACAGCAGTTCAAACGTGGAAATGAATCACCTGCTATATTACTTCTGTGCAGCAGGAGGCAAATTGAAAAACTAAATTTTTACAAGCAAAATGAGTATGGCTGTATTTGGACTCTGAATATTGCTTAGTATTTGTGTCTAGTATTATGCTGTTGTGTGCCTAAATGTTGTAAACATTTGTTGTCTGTAAATCTCTTAGGATTTCATAAGAAGCTTCCAAAGCCAGAGGTCTAAAGATCTATTCACTTGGCCATATAATTCTCCTGGCTGTGTTAACCTTAAGAATTGTATTGTCATCATATCCTAATCCATCATGTAAAACCTTATTACTACCACAAATATTAATGCCAAAATTGCTTTTAAAATGTTACAGATTTTTTTTTAAAGAGAGAATCCAAAATATATGGCAGAAATTTGAAATAAAAATGAAAAAATCGGCCGGGTGCAGTGGCTCATGCCTGTAATCCCAACACTTTGGGATGACGAGGTAGGTGGATCACCTGAGGTCAGGAGTTTGAGACCAGCCTGGCCAATATGGCAAAACCCTGTCTCTACTAAAAATACAAAAATTAGCCAGGCATGGTGGCACACACCTGTAGTCCCAGCTACTCGGGAGGCTGAGGCAGGAGAATTACTTGAGCCCTGGAGCTGCAGGTTGCAGTAAGCCGAGATCGTGTCATTGCACTCCAGCCTGAGCAGCAGAGTGAGACTCTATCTCAAAAAAAGAAAAAGAAAAATTAGGCTGGATGCGGTGGCTCACGCCTGTAATCCCAGCACTTTGGGAGGCGGAGGCAGACGGATCACGAGGTCAGGAGATCAAGACCATCCTGCCTAACACGGTGAAACCCTCTCTCTACTAAAAATACAAAACATTTAGCCGGGCATGGTGGCGGGCGCCTGTAGTCCCAGCTACTCGGGAGGCTGGGGCAGGAGGAGAATGGCGTGAACCCGGGAGGCGGAGCTTGCAGTGAACCGAGGTCGCGCCACTGCATTCCAGCCTGGGTGACAGAGCGCGACTCCGCCTCAAAAAAAAGAAAAAGAAAAAGAAAAATTAAAATTAAAGACTAACGTCGTCTATGTTTATACTATCTGTGTAATTTGCAATGCAGAGTAAGGAACGGAACCGGGTAGAAGAAGAGGAAAGCCATAAAATTTAAAATTAAATTGAAGGATTTTTTAAAAACAAGAAGAGCAAATATCAGGGAAAAGAGAATAAATAGTAAGTAAAGGGCCAATTTTAGCTTAAAGAGGAAATGCCAAAAGAGCCCAGACCATTGCAGTAGCCTCATAACAGCTTTCCCAGACTTCATCCTAAATCCTGATTCTGTTCACATCTCCACTAATGACATCTTCTAAAATTCAAATGTAATCATATCAATCACTCATGAGAATATTTTTCTACTTAATATTTTTACTTACTTGTTTGCTTTTCATTTGGCCTATGATATTCACCTACTGATAATACACATTGTATACTTATGGAATGATACTGTAATTAGAAAAATTTTTTATTGTCTTTGTCCAATTATGGGTGGTATTCCTATTTCATAAACAGTCCCATCTTCTTAAGTTTCTCATGAGATTTTCTCTCAATCACTTATGTTTCCATAATCCTCCCAATGTATCTTATGTCTTCATAAGGCCAGAAATACCAAAGTGGAAATTACTTTTCTTCTTAACAATTTCTTGTCCTTTATAACCAAATATTAGTGTTCTCAATATCTGTTGTGCTATTTGGTGGACAAGTGTTTGAGCTGGATGTTCCTTTCTTTTTCTTTTTTCTTATTAATTAGGGATAATGCTTTTTTTTCAGTAAATTCATAGCTATTTTCTTTATCATTTGATATAGTCGAGAATAAATTTATCAATGGTTGTTTAGTCATAACTGTAGCCTCGCAGCCATGATCATCCTTCCAATTTGCACTGTGGATTCTTGCTTATACATTGTTCAGTTTGATGGGGACCCTCTCTTGTGTGCATGCTTTCTCTCTTGCTCTCTGTCAATGGTAAATATTCATGTTTCTGAACCGCAATGCTATGTCTATTTGGGAATTTTCCAGTTACTTATTCACATATTCCAGAATGTTTTCCAAATGAGAATGCTAAGTTAAACTGTCATACCTATCATACACGTTTGCATGTGCAATGGCCTGCTTAGATCCACAAACTGATTGGCATGCCTGTTTGACACACAGCATGATGTAGGTAATGAAAATGTTCTGGTTCTACAACATATTCAGGGTCTTCCATGTCACTCACGCATAGCAGAGATCAATTACAGTTCTCACATTTACAGGGTTGACACAAAAGAGATGAACAATCCTACCACCTTGATATAAAGGCTTGAAATTTTTTGATAAGAAAATTAAAACTCTATTTTGGATTTCAAGCCTTTAAAAATGTATCAAAGTAAGTGTCTTGATGTGAGGGTTAAGAGTGAATATGATTCTCTTTGTACATAGAATAATAAGAATAGGGTGTTCTTTCACAAACACCTTTCAGGTTCATGAAAATTAATCGATAAACTTGAAAAGAACATCTTATTTTATTTTATTTTTAAACAGAGTCTCACTCTGTCACCCAGGCTGGAGTGCAGGGCACAACCTCGGCTCACTGCAACCTCCACCTCCTGGGTTCAAATAATTCTGGTGCCTCAGCCTCCCAAGTAGCTGGGACTACAGGCATACACCACCACGCCCAGCTAATTTTTTGTATTTTTAGTAGAGACGGGGTTTCACCATGTTGGCCAGGCTGGTCTTGAACTCCTGACCTCAGGTGATCCACCTGTCTCAGCCTCCCAAAGTGCTGAGATTACAGGCATGAGCCACCGCACCCAACGCAAAAAAGAACATTTTAAAACAACATGATTTTCAGTGATATCTGCCTACTTTTCTCCCATCTAAATTCAGAGCCTGGGCTGTCTAGGAATGCCTAGAGTTCCTTAAGCACTTCTTAGAAACTTTGCTTCCCCATAGACACATTTATTGCTGGTGAGACCAGGGAAACATCCCTCTCCTGCTTGTTAATGGAGCCTGTGGCTGCTGATGGTCATGAGTATCGCTTGCCAGTTCAGGGGATGTGCTTTTCTTTTTCTCCAAACACTCCTGATTCCTCTCCAACCCAGAAAGGAGGGACAGTGTTTGCATGGTACCAACCAACACGCTATATCCATGTATGAGGCCAAAGTGTAGATTAAGATCAACAGACCTCCTAGGTTTTGTGCTTTGGGTTATGGCAGAGCTCTTGACACAAAGGACTATGAAGCATTTCACAATTTTTTTTTCTTTTTAATAAAAGTTACATGTTTCACGTTAAAAAAAACAGTGCAGATGGGTGTAGTATAAAAAGTAAGTCTTCTTTATTCCCTATTCATACCAAGTTGGCCATTCTAATACTCCCTATCCTCAGAGATAATCACCATGAATAGCTCCCAATGTGTACTTAGAAATATAATATAGAAGTATGCATGCCTACAAGTGTGTAATATACATGTGCCTATATCTTTTTCATAAAAGGTCACAAATAGAATCCTACAGTAAATTCTACTTTACAGCTTATTCTTTTTTTCACTTTACCAATATCTAGACATCCTCAGAGATCAGTATATATAATACTACCTTATTCTGATAAAAAGCTTTACAGTGTTACGTTGTATAGCTGTGTTGCAAATTATTGAATGAGGTTGTTAAGGGTAGACATGTAGAATTTTCCAACATTTAAGATATTACAAATGATGCTTCATGAGCATCTTTGTTCTAGCCTTAGTCTGCTTTGGCTGCCTTAACAAAATACCATAGACCGAGTGGCTTGAACAATAGAAATTTATTTTTCACAATTCTGGAGGGTATGAAGTCCAAGTCGAAGGCTCCAGCCGATTGGAAACCTGGTGAGGGCTCTCTTCGTGGTTTATTGACAGCTGCCTTCTTGCTGTCCTTACATGACAGAGAGTGAGCTCTGGTTTCTCCTCTTCTCATAAGGACACAAATCCCATAAGGGTTCTCTGCTTTCATGACTTCATATAGATCTAATTACCTCCCAGACGCTCCACCTACAAATACCATGACATTGGAGGTAATGGTTTCAACATATGAATTTGGGGGAGACACAAGCATTCAGTCCATAACAGTTCATGTATCGCTGTATCCTTGAGTATATCATGTTTATAAGATATATTGTTAGAAATTATATTGCTGGGTCAATGAATAAATAGACATAGTAGGTTTTTTGTAAACAATGATTGCTCTCAACAAGTGGTTCATGAGCCTCACATCACCTCCATTCTGGTTATTGCTTTTTATTTTATTTTATTTCACTTAATTTAATTTTATTCATTGTTAAACTTTTAAATATCTTCCAATCCAATAGGCAAGTAAAAGAATATTACTCAGTTTTTCAATAAGATTGAGTGAGCTTGAACATATTTCAAATGATTTTTGACCACTTATGTTTTTGTTCTTTGCAGTAAGTTTTGAGTCCTATTGTATTGAGTTGACTTTTTTCTTATTTACACATAAGCTCTTTTTTCATATTTAAGACGTTAGTCTCTTGGCATATGTATTGCTTAGTCTTTTCCCAGTTTGCTGATTTTCTTTTGAGTTTGACTATTGGGTGTTCCAGCTATCTATTGCCACATTATACATTATCCCATGTCTTTTTTTTTTTTTTTTTTTTCCTGAGATGGAGTTTTGCTCGTGTTGCCCAGGCTGGAGTGCAGTGGTGTGATCTCAGCTCACTGCAGCCTCCGCCTCTGGGCAATTCTCCTGCCTCAGCCTCCCTGGGAGGATTACAGGTGCCTGCTACCATGCCAGGCTAATTTTTTGTATTTTTAGTAGAGATGGGGTTTCACCATGTTGGCCAGGCTGGTCTCAAAGTCCTGACTTCAGGTGATCCACCCGCCTCGTCCACCCAAACTGCTGGGATTATAGGCATGAGCCACCGCACCCGGCCTATCCCATGTCTTTAAAACAAAATAACATATTACTTTTTAAAATTCTGAGGGTTATGAATTTGGAAAGGGCCCCATGAGGACAGTGTGGTGCTCTTCCTGTATGAGTTCTGCTGGAGATGTGGTGTCTCAGAGACCTCATCTGCTTAGGTGTCTGGAGCTCAGCTAGGAGGTGAGGATGGCTGGCAGCCAACTGGAATGGCTTGACTGGGGCTGTAGTCCTGGGGCCTCAGTTCTTGGGTCAGCTGGGTTCTGTGCTCTTCTCCATGTAGCCTCCAGGGCTCTCTATCTCCACGTGGCCCCTCCATACCACCTCTCCACGTGCTGTGTTCTTCTTGCAGCTGTACTTCTTAGTTCAGGGGTGTCCAGGAGTGCAAATGCAGGACCTACCAGCACTCCTGAGGCCAAGTTCTGAAGCGTCCGTCACATTCTCTTGGTGAAGGCCAGTCACAGGCCCAGCTCAGATTCACGAGGGTGGGGGGGTACAGGGGCATGCCTTTTGCCAAGAATGGTTTACTGGTGACCACCAGTAGAGCAGACTACAAGAAGATTATTTCTGCTTTTGTTACGTTGCCATAGAAATAGTTTAAACATTTTATTGGTAGTCAGAGGTTTGCACCTACTACTTTATGGCTTCTGGTTTTAACGTCCGCTCAAGGAAGATATCACCAGTGCAATCTTAGAAAATTTTTCATCATCCAACTTTTTTTTTTTTTTTTTAGGACAGATTCTCCTCTGTCGTCCAGGCTGGAGTGCAGTGGTGTGATCTCCACTCACTGCAACTGCTGCCTCCTGGGTTCAAGCAATTCTCCTGCCTCAGCCTCCCAAGTAGTTGGGATTACAGGTGCCCGCCATCACACCCGGGTAATTTTTGTATTTTTAGTAGAGACGGTGTTTCACCATGTTGACCAGGCTGGTCACGAACTCCTGACCTCAGGTGATCTGTCCGCCTCGGCCTCCCAAAGTGCTGGGATTACAGGCATGAGCTACCATGCCTGGCCCATCGTTTCTTATACTTTTGATGCTTTCTTTGATTTTTCGCACTTGAATTTTTATTTTATTGGGATTTACTTTGTTTTTAAGGAATACAATGGAGATCTAAATTAAACTTTGTAATTTTTTATTAACCTGTTCCAGTACTGTATTACGGAATGACCCATTGCTTCCCACTGGTTTGAAGTGCCATTTTTATGATATACTACATTTCTATACTGACGGGTATTTATTTCCATACTCTCTGTTTGCTTTTCTCCTTCCATTTTCCTCCAGTGACAATAACACCAAGATATGTTGAATAGCAGATTTTTTTGCAATGTTTTTAGGTACATGGAAAACAGAGACATTATCCAGGGTTGGGGGACATAAAATGGACACAAGGTGGCTTTCCGAAGAGTTGAAATATCTGGCGAGTTGCAGGAGTTCTGATAGAAATGGCCTAGAAAACAACCCCGGAAGTCATCACTTTTTTTTCTACAGAATGTGGGAAGGGGGTTTAAGCTTTGTTGAAAACAGTAAAAGTGTGACCTCATGAGGCTGAATGACTAAATTCATCTGTATTATATTTGGTGGGCTGAACTGTAAGTCATTCCACCAGCCTGTCACAAAGGGGAGCGACTGTGACAATTGTGCCAGCTGTGTGTATATGAGTGACCAGAGTGACCACTTCCTCTTTGGCACTGGGCAGCCTCCATAGGATGGGAGAGGGACAGTGGGCATGTCTTGGCTTCTTCTCTAGAGTTTCCCTCCAAAAATGAGACAAATGAAAATACCATTCTCCTTAGTAAAAGAAAGTCCATTTTCTATTTAAATATGGGTATACCTTGGAGAAAATGCAGTTTCAGTTACAGACCACCCTCACGAAGCAAACATCACAGTAAAGCAAGTCCACAGTTATTTTGGTGTCCCAGTGCTTCTAAAACTAACTATGTTGTAGTCTATTAAGTGTTATTACCATTATTTCTTTAAGAAAGTACATACTTCAATTTAAAAATACTTTATTGCTAAAACATGCTAACAATCATCTGAGCCTTCAGCAAGTCATAATCTTTTTGCTGGTAGAGGGTTTTGCCTTGATGTTGATGGCTGCTGTCTGATCAGGCAGGGTGTTGACTGCCAAATTGTTTGGGCAGCTGTGGAAACTTGTTAAAATAAGACAACAATGAAATGTGCCACATCAATTGAGTCTTCCTTTCATGTGTGAAAGAAGAGTTCTCTATACCATGATGCTGTTTGATAGCATTCTATCTATGGTAGAACTTCCTTCAAAATTGGAGTCATTCCTCTCAAACCCTGTCAAAGCCACTGCTTTATCAACTAACTACAAGTAATATTCAGATTCTTTCAGCCGGGCGCAGTGGCTCATGCCTGTAATCCCAGCACTTTGGGAGGCTGAGCTGGGTGGGTCACCTGAGGTTGGGAGTTTGAGACCAGCCTGGCCAACACAGTGAAACCCCGTCTCTACTAAAAATACAAAAATTAGCCGGGTGTGGTAGCAGGTGCCTGTAATCCCAGCTACTCGAGAGGCTGAGGCAGGAGAATCGCTTGAACCCAGGAGGTGGAGGTTGTGGTGAGTCGAGATTGTGCCACTGCACTCCACCCTGGGCAATAGAGGGAAACTCTGTATCAAAAAACAAACAAACAAACAAAAAATCCTCTGTTGTCATTCCAACAATGTTCACGGCATCTTCCCTAGAAGTAGACGCCATCTCAAGAAACAACTTTCTTTGTTCATCCATAAGAAGTAAACTGTTCAAGATTTATCATGAGATTGCCACAATTCAGTCACATCTTCAGGCCCCACTTCTAATTCTAGTTCCAGTTACTTCCTCCACTGAAGACTTGAACCCCTCAAAATCACCCATGAGGGCTAGCGTCAGCATCTTCCAAATTCCCCTTCATGTTGCTATTTTATCTCCTCCCATGAATCATGAATGTTGTTTTCCTTCCCCCACCGGCATGTTTTCCATGAAGGTTCTTAATGACATCTAGACTATTTTACTATTTCACTATTGCACTATTGCCAAGAGAATAGTGACACCCATAACCACAACGTTAGGTCATGAAAGCATTGACTCCATTTAGTCATCCATTCATTCACTTATCAAGCAGTTATAGTATGTACATGCTCTTATAGACTATTTGTGGAAATCTCTTCTTTGGGCCTCAAGAGCACCTCTGACCAGGGTAAAACCTGCTTTTAGGGAGGAAAGTATTGAGACACTGTCCAGCGGAAGCAAGAGAGCACATGTCCCGAAAGCCTAAGATAGAGGGGCTGGAGGCTGCGTCAGTGCCACCTGGCAGTCATCATCTTTTCATACATGTCCGGTTCCTTCTATGAGTTCCTCAGGCCCTATTACTCTACATCCATTTTCTTCCCACCATTAATATATGTGAAGAAAGTATGCAAGCGCTCTCTCTCGTTTTCCAGTGTAAACGACTGGAGATTCTTTTTTTTTAATCAAAAGAAATGATTTTTATTGTTACACAAAACATTTCTTATCAGGGCACACATACATCTAGAGAGCAGCTGCATTTTCAGAACAAATAGATGAAATACCTTTGGTGAACTGAGAGTTGGGGAAAACAAGTCACCTTCTTTAAATTTTGGTAATGTGTTTACTGAATTTAAACAGAAATCAAAATCAGGACAGAGTAAGAAAAAACATTTCTGCGGAAACAAAATGCCTTCTCATGAGCAGAGCCTATTGTGATGCTCATTAACAACGTGAGATTCTTTTAAGCTTTCTCTATGAATCATTTGTGTGAGCATCCTGCGGATTTAGTTCTCCATGTATTTTATAAAGAAAGAACAGGAAGTACCAACAAACAGGAGAGCCTCGTGCATTGACTCACTGGCTCACGTTGCTGCCTGAGAGTGACACAGCGCCCCTTACATTACAGGCCTCTCTTCAATTTATTTTATTTTTTTAATCATTTTGTATTATTTCTCTGTGTTATAGAACACAGGACACAGTGGCTGTAGCTACATTTGGACGTCAAAACACATTTTAGACTCTTTGTATTGATTTAGAGTTTATTACAGTGAGTTACAGTTTATATTTTTCCATGTTCTTGTTTGCCAATTAAATGTCTATTGATACAAGGGATAAATAAAAAGAAAAATAGTTCGAGATGCATTTTTAAATAATTAATAGATTAAGGGTTGTACCTTTAATTTTGTTATTGCTAAATTTTGTCTGTCCAAATTATAGAACTGGTGTTTTTTTTTTTCATTGAAAAGAACTTCACTGATTTTGTGATAATTACATACCAATCTGGATTTTAAATTAAACTATTCGTTTTTTTTTCTTGTAATCACTTCAGGCAGAAAAAGAATAAGTAAAGTGTGGAATAAAATGTTTTTTACCTCTGTCAAAATGATTTAAGACCATTTTACTCTACCTGTGTCATCAAACAGAATTCATTAAATATCCAGAATACAGTCGATATGTCAAATTCCAGGAGGTTCAGAAAATTTAGAAGATATTCCTCCCCTCAAAGTAACTGGCAATCTGGCAGGAGAGGAGAAGGAACATACAGTTGAATTTGCTGTGAGAGACCTGGGCTTGTATAAACAAGATGCCCTGTTTCCATCCGGAAGATTCTTTCAGACTAGGACCTCTCTAGGTATCGTCCATGTACCGGAAATCTGCCCCACTGACTCTCACGTGCTCCCCAGGTCATTGACGGTTCCGAGCTAAATTGATTGAATACTGCTGTTCACATTTATTTCACAAATGTCAAGTTTTGAGTTTCACTTTCCTGGAAAATTCCTTATGTTCTTTGTTGTTGTTGTTGTTGTTGTCGTTGTTGTTAGTTTGAGATGGAGTCTTGCTTTGTCACCCAGGCTGGAGTGCAGTGGCTTGATCTTGACTCACGGCAACCTTTGCCTCTTGGGTTCAAGCCATTCTCTTGCCTCAGCCTCCTGAGTAGCTGGGATTACAGGCACCCGCCCCCACACCCGGCTAATTTTTGTGTATTTAGTAGAGACAGGGTTTCACCATGTTGGCCAGGCTGGTTTTGAACTCCTGACTTCAGGTGATCCACCCGCCTTGGCCTCCCAAAGTGCTGGGACGATAGGCATAAGCCCCTGCGCCTCGCCGGAAATTCTTTATGTTCTAATAATTGCAGCCTTCTTAAGTTTGCACCTTTGCTGAGAGCGCTGTTTGGTCCTTTCGATCTCAGCAAATACAGTCCGAACTCTACAGACCATCCTGGCTCACGTCTTACGTCACTTTCATGCCATTGTTTACACTTCTCCTGCTATTTTCCTCTCTTACGTCCCCAGTGCACATTCACAAAAATAAATCAATGACACAAAGTTTTATTTCAAGCAGTAGGGGAAAGATGAAAACTTGAACATAAATAAGACAAGTTAGAATAACTTGGCAAATGTGAGCTGTTAGCAAAATTCAGTGCTAATATAGAATATGTGTATATATGTGTAAAAATGAAGAGATTTGCAAGTGTGGTTATGTTGCGGAAATAATTTTTAAGGTGTAATAGGAGTTGAGATGCTGATTGCCTCAACAATAACTAGTTTGTGCATCCCATTCTTTTCGAGCTTTTTTTTTCCAAATAGTCTCAAAACCCTTGACGATTTTGCCTTATTTTTATTCAAAGAACAGTGAAGTTTCTTGTAAACCAGTGAAATTCATCTAGAACCAGCATGAAATAATGTTCTCCAAAATGAAATACAGAAGTGTATCCTTTATCCATAAGGGCAGAGAAAAGAACAAAGCCATAGGAATAGTACTGAAAATTTCACATCTCAGAGGAATATCTGGTGTGATGGTTAACATTGAGTGTCAACTTGATTGGACTGAAGGATGCAAAGTATCATTCCTGGTGTGTCTGTGAGGGTGTTCCCAAAGGAGATAAACATTTGAGTCAGTGGACTGGGAGAGGCAGACCCACCCTCAATCTGGGTGGGCACCATCTAATCAGCTGCCAGTGTAGCCAGAATAAAAGCAGGCAGAAGAGCGTGGATGGACTAGACTGGCTGAGTCTTCCGGCCTTCATCTTTCTCCCGTGCTGGAAACTTTCTGGCATCGAACATCAGACTCCAAGTTCTTCAGCTTCGGGGCTTTTGGACCTTAAACCACAGACTGAAGGCTAGACTGTCACTTCCCTACTTTTGAGGTTTTGTGACTAGGACTGGCTTCCTTGCTCCTTATCTTGTGATCTTGTGAGTCAATACTACTAAATAAACTCATATATACATATATATATATATATGTATGTTCTATTAGATTTGTCCCTCTTGAGAACCCTGACTAATACACTTGGGTATAACTCACCCTGATCCCTAGAAGGTTGTAAAAATACTCACAAAATTAATAGCAAAAGAAGCTACTGGAAATCATCTAACCAAGAGAAAGCTAGATGGAGTCCCAGAGTCGAGTGGCTTCTCCTTGGCCAGAGAGGTCCCTTAAGCTACAGCAATGAGAAGCCATGTCCTGTGCCAGGCACAGAGCTTGCTGTCAGCCCTCTGATGCTGATGGTGGAAGCTGGGCAAATGTCAGCAAGGTTCTGAGAAGAAGTTTCTTTCAACATGGATTCCTGTACCTATTCCAGTTCTTATCAAATGTGTAAACGAGTTAAGACACATTCAGACATGGAGCATCCAGAAATTGTTATCTTCCATGCAACTTTTCAAAAAATATACCATGATATTATTATATGATATGGACTGCAGTAAAGGACAAGGAAACTCAACAA
This sequence comes from Homo sapiens, assembly GCF_000001405.40. Taxonomy (NCBI): domain Eukaryota; kingdom Metazoa; phylum Chordata; class Mammalia; order Primates; family Hominidae; genus Homo; species Homo sapiens. Next base: position 161,906,176 of record NC_000006.12, on the reverse strand, counting down.
TGTGGAAGACACATGCAATTCAGAATGAATGAAAAGAATTCCCAGGCTGAGCATACTGGCCCATACCTGTAGTCCCAACATTTTGGGAGGCCCCAGGTGAGAGGACTGCTGAAAGACTAGAGTTACAGACCAGTCTGGGCAACATAGTGAGACCCTGTCTCTCTTTTAAAATTAAATTAAATTTTAAAAAGAATTCCCAAAGGAGGAAAAAAATACCTGAAAATGTCCTTTTTTTTTTTTTTTTTTTTAGATGCAGTGGTGTGATCTTGGCTTACTGCAACCTCCACCTCTCGGGTTCAAGTGATTCTCCTGCCTCAGCCTCCCAAGTAGCTGGGATTACAGCCGTTTCCACCATGCCAGGCTAATTTTCATATTTTTGGTAGAGACAGGGTTTCACCATGTTGGCCAGGCTGGTCTTGAATGCCTAACCTCAAGTGATCCGCCCACCTCGGCCTCTCCAAGTGCTGAGATTACAGGTGTGAGCCACCACACCCGGCCGAAAATGTACTTTAAAAAAATATATATATAAATAAAACCCAAGATAAAGGAAGGCAGGGGATTCAGTAAGAAAATTCCAGAAAGACAGCTTGGAAGCGGATCTGAAAAGGAAGGAGTCAACTTAGAGCAGTCAGTTAACGAGACACTGAATGAGCTGGGAGAGCTGAGCACTCCCGTGGGGAATCCCTGTGTTGCTTCTGTCAACAAGAAGAAGGAAAGGCAGCTTTGACACTCAGGAAAAGCAAAAGTCTACACCAGAAACCTGTCCATAGACATACAGCAAAAAGATTTTTCAAAGTTAGTGTAAGGAATAATTATTCGTTTGATCTGAATTTCAGAAAATTCCTCCTGGGGTGACCCAGGTTTAGGAACACAAGAATGAGACTGTACCTTCAGGCTCCAGCCAGCAAACGTAGTTAGTTAGTGTCACGAGTGTGTCTATTTCACTTCCAGCATCCACTCAGAGGCAAGGCATGTAATCATGGTTGTTAACAGAATAAAACGTAAATGTAACAAATCTTGAAAATGTAACAATAATGGTATAGTTGAAAAAAAGCTGGGAAGTGGAGGGAGACGAGGTGAAAATACCGCCCAGGCTCCTGTTTCTTTATTTTACGTGGTGGATATTCAAGGTGGGGACCAAACTTCGCAGATGGAGATGTAGCTAAGCATTAAACAAAATTTAAGTCCGTGTAAGAGTTAAAAATTAGAATGTCAATCAGAAATTGGGAGGGGAAGAATGCAGCAGCAGAGCCATCCACACCTTGACCTCCACGGCTGCAGTCCTATCCTGACTCCCCCCACATCAGACCTCCCATTCCCTTGCCTTTTGTCCTCTGCATCTCAAGGTCTGTCTCTGCAGCTCGGCCTCTGCACAACCCCATCTTGCTGGCCACACGCTCTTCTTGACCCACACCCCCATCCCCAGTCCCTGTTTCCCAAGAGGATACAGAGATGGTGTTGGCTGAATCTGCGACTTGGCACATCCCAAGTTCAGGCTTTCACAGAGGCCCACCCCCTGCGGTCTTACCTCACAGGGAATGTGTTTTTAAAAACAAATTTGAGGTCGGGTGCAGTGGCTTACGCCTGTAATCTCAGTACTTTGGGAGGCCGAGGCAGGCAGATCATGAGGTCAGGAGATCGAGACCGTCCTGGCTGACACAGTGAAACCCCGTCTCTACTAAAAATACAAAAAATTAGCTGGGCGTGGTGGCAGGCGCCTGTGGTCCCAGCTACTCGGGAGGCTGAGGCAGGAGAATGGCATGAACCCAGGAGGTGGAGGTTGCAGTGAGCTGAGATCGTGCCACTGCACTCCAGCCTGGGCAACAGAGCCAGACTCTGTCTCAAAAAAAAAAAAAAAAAAAAAAAACCCCACAAATTCGAAAACAAGCCAACACACCTTGCCCCCTCAAAAAAGGTCTGGCTATTTTTTTCCCCCCAAACTGTGGGCGTGCTGGCTCAGCATCCTCAGGACCCAGCTGTTGCTTAATTTTAACTTATTATTTTTTAATTAATCCAAATAAAAAGTTGTTGGGCTCCAAGACAACCTGGGCACAAAGGTTCTGAAGGGCAGTTTCCTAGCAGCCCCAGGCTCACTGTGGGAAGGGACCATGTTGTCATTTCCTCATCATTCCATGGGGTGTGTCTGCCTGGGCCAACCCTGTGTGAAGAGGCCAGTGCTGGGGACAGTCTGCACTCTGCTTCCCTCCTGTTTCTCCTGCCCACCCCAGCTCCCTGTTTGTATCTGAATTGTGGATCCTGCAGACGAAACTGCAGCCATAGTTATTTGACTATATCTTAACTGAGGACTTGCATTGCAAAGCCAGGCCAGCACTGCGCATACATACAATAAAAGGGACCATTAAAAAAAAAAAAAGAAAAAGAAAAAAAGAAAGTTCTCTGTGTTCCCAGGCTCCTCCCTGCACACTTTCTTTATCTCTTTCCTCATACTTAAGTGGGTATATCTGTTTCATTCTGAGGCAAAATATTCATCAGCCCTTTTGACCACAAATCCAAAGCACTGTGTTTTGTAGGTTTTGTTAGGAATAAAATATGAGCTCATGTCCTCTGTCTTTCCCTGTATTTCTGACTCTAAATTGGTTGGCAACCCAACAAATAATATTTGATGTTCATTCACCCTAAAAACAACAATTTTCCTCCCATCAGAGGCTGCATGGAGGTAGATGGCGGCTGTCAGCTCAGAAACGAAGGTCCCACCCTCTTTTCTTTGCCTTCGCGAAGTTTGACTTCTGTCTCCTTGGTCAAGACATATTCATCTTTTTGACTCAGAACTAGCTTTCATCCAACAATTGGTGAAAGTTTAGCAAGCAGATCTCCGAGGTAAACAAAAGAGCCCACTTTGCAGTTGCTGCCAATTTCTGTGGTGTAAATACACCCATCTGGGCCAGCTTCAAGCTACCAGTGTCTCCTCACTGAGTACAGACTTGGGAAGGAAAGACACAGTTGGCTCTAGAGCCAGTGCAGCCGCCTCCAGCACAACGCTGCTTCCGTCCTGTCTCCTTTGGAAAGACTCCTCTAAATCCCTCTCACTAGATCTAGACACTGGGTGCTGGGCAACTTCGGACATCTGCCTTTAAAGACAATAGCGATGAACAGTTCCCCTGAAGGTGAGGATCAGATGACTCACTGCCTTACTTGTTAAGTAGAGAACCAGCCAGAAACCAGTATTCCAGCACAGTGCACCGTCTTGCCCATCTTGCAGCACACAACTTTCTGAGAGCAGGGGTTTATACAGGCAGCATGAGGTGTTTCCCTAACGCTGTGCCTTAGTGCTTTTGTCCTATGTAAGAAATACATAGATGAGCCGGGCAAGGTGGCTCACGCCTGTAATCCCAGCACTTTGGGAGGCCGAGGTGGGCAGATCACTTGAGGACAGGAGTTTGAGACCAGCCTGGCCAACATGGCGAAACTCAGTCTCTACTCAAATTACAAAAATTAGGCGTGGTGGCAGGCTCCTGTAATCCCAGCTACTTGGGAGGCTAAGGCAGGAGATTCACTTGAACCCAAGAGGCGGAGGGTTGCAGTGAGCTGAGATGGTACCACTGCACTCCAGCCTGGGGAACAGAGCAAGACTCTGTCGCAAAAAAAAAAAAATAAATAAATAAATAAATAGATAGATAGATAGATAGATAGACGGATGTCTATTACATTTACACACACACACCAGTGACTCTAAACCACTCTCTGCCTAAAAATATAATTATTTTGAGTGAATAAGCAAAACCATATGAAATATTTAGACCGTCTTAACCCATTTAGGTTAGACTTCTTATTGAATCACAACACACAGTTTGAAAAGACTACACAGCAGTCTTCTCTCGTGATTTAATCAAAAGTCCAGTTCAGAAGCCAGTCTCTTCTGAGCCTCTGCAGCCTGGTGACGTTTTGACATCTTGCAAGTGGGATGAAGCAGACCATGCTCACAGAGGGTGCGAGGACGGGGCCGGCCAGGGGAGTGCCCTGACGCATTGCTGGAAAGAGGCAGCATAAGCCCAGCCAGGGTCTTTAGGGAAATGTTAACTTAGAAACCCCTGTTCTCCTATTTTTCTCAAGTCAAAGGAAGAGTCTGCTATTGATAACATTGCAGTGAAATGGAGGTAGAGGAATTTGCCTTTCGTTTGGGAAGAAAGTACCATTCGGAAGCAAAGCCCCGTGTGTCAGCATCACACGCTCTGATTCATCACTTAATGTGCAGGCCAGGTTAGGCTGCTGGCTCCATGACTCGGCATCCCACTCTCTCCAGGGGAACTTGCACCTCGCAGCCCAAGCTGAAGCACTCGCAGCTGCAGCAGCAGGGTCAGAGGACCCTTTCTGAGAATCTCCAGTTACCTCCTGGACAAAATCACCGTCCTTTTGCCATCATACCTCTCTCTGTTCAAATGCATAAATCACTGAGTCTTTCCTGCAGCCACGATGAATTTACAAAATGTAACAATCAAAACCTGTTCTTGTTAATATTTGTTTTAAGGCAAATATCTACATTTTTATGTCCTTCTCCCTGTTTAAATCAGACCCGCTCCATTGTTTGTAATCTGTTGTCTGAATGCCGTTGTTTCTGTATGCCAGACCAAAAATTCCACATTAGAACACTTATGGGCAGAGTGGAGTGGAATATTTGAAATTTAGACCATTTCAGAAAATCTGAGGTGTGTTGTCTTGGCAGCTTTGTAATATCTCATGATGTGAGTATTTGGACATGAGGAAAATGAGACGAATTTACTCACTCCAGGCACAGGGGTGAAGGAGACTGGCCTGCCCATCCTCTGCCCTACTTTTTCTCTCCCCCAGGCAGGACTGATTTATCCTGCAGTTTAACTACATACTGGAGACATGCTTTTCCTCGCACTCAGTACACTACGTCTCTTCCTTGGGCCATCGATCCAAACTGCTTTTTTACTTTTCTTATTAAATTTATTGATTATTGGCTGGACGCGGTGGCTCACACCTGTAATCCCAGCACTTTGGGAGGCCAAGGCCGGTGGATCACCTGAGGTCAGGAGGATCACCTGAGTCAGGGGTTTGAGACCAGCCTGGCTAACATGGCAAAACCCCATCTCTACTAAAAATACAAAAAAATTAGCCGGGCGTCCTGGCATGTGCCTGTAGTGCCAGCTACTCAGGAGGCTGAGACAGGAAAGTTGCTTGAACCTGGGAGTTAGAGGTTGCAGTGAGCCAAGCTCATACCACTGCACTACAGCCTGGGTGACAGAGCGAGACTCCATCTAAAAAATATATATATATATATACAATTTAACATATGTGTTATATATAATATATATTATGTATTGTATATTATATATTATATATGTAATTATATATAATATACAATACATAATATATATTACATATTATTTTATTATATATTTATATTTTATATATAATTATGTATGTTGTATATATTTATATTTAATACATAAATATATGTTATACATAATGTATTATATATTATATGATATATTACTATAATATATAATATATTATATATAACATATATAATATATGTTATATATAATATATAATATATAGTATATTATAGTATATACTACAGTATATTAATATATAATATATTAATATATAATATATTACATAATATATAACATATAAAATATGTATATTATAATATATATAAAAGATATGTTGTATATATAATATATATTATAATATATAATTTATATTATATATTACATAGTAAATTATGTATAATTTATATATATATAAAAATATATATTATTTTTCTCTAATTTTCTCTAATTTGATCCCACACTCAGTGGCAGCAGCATCCAGGCTCATGTGTTATTGGCGTCACCCAAAGCTCCATGTCTTGTTTCCTGATGCTGCTGCTGCTGCTTCTCAGTGGACTCCCTCTCACTTCCATTTCAACACGTTCACATCTCACCTGCACGGTGCATAGTCCAATTTACATGCTATCAGTTCCAGAAAGACCTTCTCGATAATTTCAGCTTTAAATTTATTCTGCTTCCTCTGAATTCACTAAAATTTTCCGATTATCTATATTTTTATTTTATTTTATTTTATTTTATTATTTTTGAGTCAGAATCTCACTCTGTCACCTAGGCTGGAGTGAAGTGGCATGATCTCAGCTCACTGCAACCTCTGCCTCCCAGGTCCAAGCAAATCTCCCTGCCTCAGCCTCCCGAGTAGCTGGGATTACAGACGCCCAGCTAATTTTTGTATTTCTAGTAGAGACAGGGTTTGATCATGTTGGCCAGGCTGGTCTTGAACTTTAACCTCAAGTGATCTGCCCACCTCGGCCTCCCAAAGTGCTGGGATTACAGGCAAGAGCCGCCTGGCCCGGCCCGGTTGTCCATATTTTAAAATATATGACTTCCCTGCTGTACTCAATCCCACAATACACACATAGTACAACGTATGGGAATACGCCTTGAAGACCTATTTGTAGATGACTGGAGAAAAATAATTGGTTAGAAAAAAGGACAGTGTATGTTTGGTAAGTAGTTGTTGATTCTGACCCATTCGAAGATAAGCAGGTGATATCATCGATAAGCTGAAGAGAAGAGCCAGGCAGTGGGAAATATCTTTGTTTATAAAGGTAGGATGTGCTACCGTAGCAAATGGAAAAATATGAGTGAGAAAATAAACATTCCCCTCAACCCCACTTCCCAGTGATGAACACCCTTCACCTGTGGCTGGATATCTTTTATCTGAGCCTTTGGTAAATATTTGATAAAATTGCAAAATATTACCTACATATTATTTTTGGTTTTTCCCAAGACTTCCCTCAGAGTGATGTCAGCAACAGTTTTAATAAGGGGGGAAAGGCTTTGTCCTCTGTCAGAATAAACCTCATAATAACCTTTGTAAAAAATTGATTTGTATAACATTTTGTAATTCTCATCGGAACATACTGAAAGATGTTTCCGTCTGGCCTTATTTTTGGACAATGGGAAATATATTTATGCAAATATCTCCCTGAAGTTTCTCATTTCAGCCTCATCTGTGAAATGTGTGCCTGGCTGGCCAGGGCCTCCCCACTCCACAGTCACTGTCTGGGCCACGCTGACATAGCTGCGGGGTGGAGGATGCTGACTCTGGCCGGTCCTTGAAGGCAGCCAAGGGCTGCTGTGCAGCCAGCTGCCAACCTCAAGTAAGCGATGCTTTGGGCAGAGGAGCCCTTGGATTCCCTGCCCTTTTGCCCTTGACTTCAACCGATGATTTGCCATTGAGCTGTGATAGGCTGCTTTATGCTGAGTTATAAGCGTTCCGGGCCTTTTAGACATTATTCCCCATCACTTTTCTAGATTCTTCACTGCAAATTACGAAGAAGCCACAAGCGTACATTTGCAATAGGAATTAGACCACTACCTCAGTTCTCTTAAAATTAAAGCTGTTGCAGCCTAGGGAGGGGGAATCACCAAAATTATCATCTGATTAAACCATGTTTTAACTATTGCTAAGAAACTCAGACATTTTATGAAACTTGCCACCTATCACTCTGGAAGTTCTGTCTACCCAGATAGCTTCGCCCAGTACCAAAATGACATTCCACTGTCAGCAAAGATGCCCGCAACTTTAGCTTTGAAAACATCCATTTAGTAATCATCTGCATGACCCACTTCAGCCACAGCGTTTTCCCATAAACGATGGCTGTGAGGAGCACAAATTGTATGTGCCTCCGTTTCCTCAGCTGCACGATGAAGATAATTATATCCATTTGGAGAACTGTTGTGAAGTGTACATAAAAATTATGTAGATGAAAGGATATTGTGAACAGTGTAAAGCAATATACAGATGTAATGCGTAAATATTATTGCTCGTGGGACCTTCGTGATTCCCTAGAACCTGTAGCTCATTTCCCTTCTACCTTATATGCATCAGGACTCCTCATGAAACTTTAAGTAAAATACTTCCGTAATTCAAAGGGTTCACTGTGCCAAATTGATCTGATTGCTGATTGAAATTCATTTGTAATATCTTAGTTTTACAGATTCGTTTTAACTGGAAAATTGGCAAATACAAGGCAGCTTAAAGTATCAATTACAAGTATCAATTATAGTGATTTTGCTTTACTATGGAAAATTTGCTACAAGTTCTGTTATAGTCATCCTTCTTAAAACTCAATAATCAGAGATTTGTTCTTGATTTAATTGAAGATGTAGCAGATGAGAAAAACCTTTTCTATGCAACTGGGAGACTTTTTTTTTTTTTTTTTTGAGACGGAGTCTCGCTCTGTCACCCAGGCTGGAGTGCAGTGGCGCGATCTCAGCTCACTGCAAGCTCCGCCTCCCGGGTTCACGCCATTCTCCTGCCTCAGCCTCCCGAGTAGCTGGGACTACAGGCGCCCGCCACTACGCCCGGAACTTTTTGTATTTTCAGTAGAGACGGGGTTTCACCTTGGTCTCGATCTCCTGACCTCGTGATCCACCCGCCTCAGCCTCCCAAAGTGCTGGGATTACAGGCGTGAGCCACCGCGCCCGGCCGCAACTGGGAGACATTTTATATGCCATGAACAACATAAATTATCACAGAGGGTAGAAGCACACAATTCTAAGCCAAAATGTACTATAGAAGCAAAATTATTTTTAAACAATTGCTGTATAGAGTACCCACATCTGTTATTTATCATTTGAAATTGTATTGCTTTGGTAAGCAGTCTAATCAATCAAACCACTATGTTCCCTAATCCCAATGAAGCATTCTTCTCTTACAGAAGGAAAATGGGCCTAAAAAAGAGATAATACTTTAGCAGCTATTTTTTGGATTAGACCTTTTGGAGTCTTGAAAGGGAGCCTCAACACATACATAAATAAGGTGACCGCATATCTGAAAAAGAAGAGAAGTTGAATGAGAGGGATGATAGGAGAGAAGAAGCATGAAACACCAGCTGCTCTCATAGCATGTGATGTAGCTGCATTCTTCACTGCTAAATTAAAAAACAGATTCAGGCTTCTGGGCTTGAGGAGGCTGCAGTTAGGAATGAATGCCACGTGTTCACTTGAGCTCGAACAAAGAAGAGGATATGAGTATTGAACACTGTTGGCTCAGCTATCGGCTGTTTAGCTGCTATCTAGGCCAAGGGATAGAGACAGTGATAGTGTCCAACATGTAGAAGAGAAAGTTAGAAGATACTAGGAATACTCAGAAAACTATATCATCGGTCATTGATTGAGTTACTGGAATCATTTCTTCCTGTCCTCCAATTCTATCATGCCCAAGAGATTACACCACAATGTGCTGTACGTGACTGTGCGTGCTGAACACGCCTTTCTACAACAATGACGGGTTTTCTTCTGTCCTCTGAATATTATATTATCTAGGAATAGAACATGACCAGAAAATAGATCCAGTGGAATTTTTTTTTCATTGTTCCAAATTTAATTTCAGCATCAGGAATTGAGATATAGAAAAAGGAAATGAACCTGGAACCACAGGCAAGAGTATAATATTGGAAAAGGCCCCCAACAGTGACAACACCATCTTGTAAACACTTACGAAGCTTGGTCCTGTGAAAATAAGCATACATCACCTCCCCTGCTCCCCCAGCTCCTCCCGTCGCCATTAGTTCTTACATGCCGTGTTTTCCTTATCTATTGCCTTATCATTGTGTGGGTTATGGGTTTGGGCAGGGCTAGGTCAGGGGATGTTTCTACTCTATATGGCGTTGACTGAGGTTGCTTGGTGGTGCTCAGCTGGTGGAGGGGCTCACATGTCAGGCATCTTGGTAGGTGTGGCTGGAAGAATGGATTCCACTATGGTTGTTGATGGGAGATAGACACATGGCCTCTGCTAAATGGGCAGTGTCAGAGCTCAGGGCACCCAGAGAGAGTGATCTAAAAGACAGGGAATGGAAGCTGCCCATTTTTAGGCATGAGCCCCAAAACTGACAGAGCAGCACTTCCACTGTCTTCTATTCAGCAGAGTAGTCACAGAGTCTGCCCAGGTTCAAGGGGAGACCCCACCTTACAATAGGAGGAGGGCAAAAGAATTCATGGCCACCTTCAATTCTTCCATAGTCCTTTCTACACATAAATGTAGTGTCTCATAAGCATACCTGACAGCTATATTTTCTCTCACATAATTTATTCATCACCCGTCACACCTGCCCTGCTTCACCCGCACTTTAGTCTCTCCTCCAACACTGCTGAGGGGATTTTCCCTTCTTACTGATAACAAGGTGGTCTCTAGCCCCTTAGCTTTACTTGTTCACTTCCCACCAGCTCAGCTGATTCTGTGCCCCTCAGTCCTTTCCAGCTCCCTTCGTCTGGGTAATTCCTATTTTTCCTTCACTGCTCAGCTTCTCTAAGAATTCTTCCCTCCAACCCTGCCCCTTACCCCCACTGTGCCCTCATCCATTCATTCATGTGTCCATTCAATTGTTTGTTCAACAGATATTTACTGAGGCACTCATAGGCACCCCAGCTAACTACGGGTGAAAAAGAGCATAACGGCAGGTGGGGTGGGCGTGCTCCTGAATCTCAGAAGCCTCACTGGGGGGCATAACAGCAGGAGGGGTGGGCGTGCTCCTGAATCTCAGAAGCCTCACTGGGGAGCATAACAGCAGGTGGGGTGGGCGTGCTCCTGAATCTCAGAAGCCTCACTGGGGTGTATAACGGCAGGTGGGGTGGGCGTGCTCCTGAATCTCAGAAGCCTCACTGGGGGGCATAACGGCAGGTGGGGTGGGCGTACTCCTGAATCTCAGAAGCCTCACTGGGGTTTGGCTCCCCAGGGGGACCCAGGCAGTGTTGTGTTTTAGATTCCTGGCCACCTGCACACCTTGTCAGCACCTTCAGGGTGCAAGCAAGTCCAGCCACGGTTAGCAGGCTCTAGTTCTGTGAGCCCTCCATGGAAGGGGTATTTATTTTCTTATGCCAATCGTTCAGGTCTCCTCTTGCCGACTCTAGTGTCAGAGGGGAAAAGAGAGAAATTTCCTGGCTCAGTGAAGCTGGAGCAAAGCTTTACCAGGGTGTTTAGTAGCTAGGGTTGGAATTCAATTTTGAGTTTTCCTGCTGTGGCAGTTAAATGTGAAGCTTTACATTACCATTTCTCTTTCATTCTTCTCAGCTATATTTTAACTTGAAAGTTTTTTCACTGGTCATGAAAGCAACCAAATGTAAGGAAAGTCAATACAAAGTTTTAAAAATAGCAACAAATAAGCGGTCTATAAAATATTGTTATAACAGAGTGAGGTCAGATCTTCAGAAATAACATCTATTCCCACCTCAGATTTTGGAGGTGCTTCAAATTTTCCATCTTAAGCATTGGTGGAATAAGCACATAATTAGACTTTAGAACAGGACCAAATCATATCCTCATTAAATAAATACAGTTATAAATGATGGACCACATTTGTCCAACATGCATATCATTTTAATGTTTGTAAGTAATAATTCTGCCAATATGGCAAGCCAGATATCAACAATGTGTCTAGAAGCGCATACAAAAGAGATCACTAGGATCTGTGACCACCTGGAAGGGCATGTGAAAACGTTCCCATAGAGAAAGGCTAATTTCACTTAGGACACAAACACGGGAAGAATTTCAAAGATAAGTATATCGCAAGGAGCATATTCCAGACATGGAGAAATGCATGAGTAACGCACGATTTGAAAACAGGAAGTATTTAAGATACATTAAGGTCCAAGCAAAGCACTAAATGGGAAATGAGGCTTGGAAAGGCAGGTGCTGTGGTGAGGATTGATTGGAATCCCATCCTGATGAGTTTGGTTGTAGTTTAGAAGGGAATGGAAAACTGCTGAAAAGTTTGGAAAAAGTAGGAATGTTTTTACAGCTATGATTGAGGAAGGTTAATATGTCAGTCATTTATAGTCTGAACTGGGGTGAAGAGAGATGTTATAAGAATACCATAGTGGTCTAGGAAGGAAATAATGAGACTCGCATGAAATCAGTGACCACAGTAGAAAAGGAAAGGAATTCATGGGAAAGTCATTGAAGGCAGTGGCCACAGAAAGATTGTCAGTAGTTCATGGTGGGGTTGGTAGGTCGAAGGGGTTGGCAGGTGGGTAGTGGAGCTAATGAAGAGAGAGTAGTGTCAGAAAAGTCTCCAATGGTGAGAACTTTCCATCTGAGGACACAGGAGAAGGTCACACCATTTAATGCAAACAGAACTCACTATTTATAGCACATAGAACTTAGCTGGGGATAGGAATAGGATCGATAATGAATGTGGCTTTTTACTTCATATGTTTGTTCATTCAAAAATAATTTTGTGTTCTTCTTTGTGACAAATCGTGTGCCAAAATGTTTGGCAGTGGAGAGATGACTTACCCAGATCCGTCGAGGAGAACACAGATAGGTTTAAGGAGAAAGGCATGAAGCATCTTGAGCAAGTCTCAGAATCCACAGAGTAACAGAATAAGAAAGACACAGCTCCTTTAAAACTCTGAATCATTATTTCTTGCTCACTTTGTGGCTGGGACTGGATGGGATCATTGTTATCATCTTATATTTGTTGAGTTATTATTTGCCAGGCACCAAGCAGTGTGTGTAAAGAACCTATTATTTAGTTTTCAGAGACACTTTCTGAGGTGGATACTACTGACTGGTCCATATTTTACATGTAGAAACTGAGGCTCAGAAAAGATGAAGAACTTGCCCAAGGTCGCTCCTCTAGTCTGTCTCTGTTCCTGCAACAGTAACGTAGTGATAACATAGTGAAGGCACAGACAGTGTTTAAGGTTTGAGCCCAGTGTCTATTTAAACTATATTATTGTTGTTTCTAACATTAGGCATCTATAGGATACTTTGTTTCCTGATGAGAACAAAGCTAACTCAACTTCATGGCGTGTGAACAGATAACCAGCCCTCCTCAATTCTGTGCTTTAACTGGCTAAGCTAATTACTGATATGTTAGTATTCTATGGTACCCCTCTACTTTCAATCACTCAGTAAAATCCTGATGGCTGGGATTATCTATACCTTTGCCTTGAAAGAGCATACCAAAAGCCGCTTTTGATTTAACTATAAAAGGGGAATGTATAAATATGTCTTTTTTAAGCACCTTTAAAACAAAATATTGATGGGCTGGGTGCGGTGGCTCACGCCTGTAATCCCAGCACTTTGGGAGACTGAGACAGGTGGATCACGAGGTCAGGAGTTCAAGATCAGCCTGGCCAAGATGGTGAAACCCCATCTCTACTAAAAATACAAAAATTAGCCGGGCGTGGTGGCAGGTGCCTGTTATCCCAGCTACTCGGGAGGCCAAGGCAGGAGAATTGGTTAAACCTGGGTGGCAGAGGTTGCAGTGAGGCAAGATTGCACCACTGCACTCCAGCCTGGGTGATAGAGTGAGACTCCGTCTCATAAAACAACTAAATATTGGTTTCTGCCACCAGGTACATTCTCTAAAACCTTAAACTCTGACCAATTTCACAAAATGACCATTAATTTTTAACTTAAAATTTTTAATTTTTTTTATTGTTTAGAGATAGGATATTGCTCTGTCACCAAGGCTGGAGTGCAGTGGCACAGTCATAGCTCACTGCATCCTCTAACTCATGCGCTCAGGAGATCCTCCTGCCTCAGCCTCTTGAGTAGATCCTCCCACCTCAGCCTCTTTGGTTTCTGAAAACAAACTTGCTGTAGTTTCTGAAGAATTATTCAAGCCTGTAAGACCTCAAAGCCTCATGTTTAGGGACCCAGCAAAATGCCCCTAGTTCTTACCTGTGATACCCAATTTTCAGTCATACACCGAACAAAAGGAATTGGAGGAAGTAAACACACCACCATGCCCAACTAATCTTATTTATTTTTTTTTTTGGTTGAGGTGGAGTCTAGCTGTGTTACCCAGGCTGATTTCAAACACCTGGCCTCAAGCGATCCTCTTGCTTTGGTCTCTCTAAGTGCTGGGATACCAGGTGTGAACCACTGTGGCTGGTCCAAAGATTTTTTGTAGAGGCAGGGTTTTACCACATTGCCTAGACTGACCTCTAACTTCTGGGGTTCAAGAGATCCTCCCACCTCAACCTCCCAAAGCACTGGGATTATAGGCATGAGCCCCTGTACCCAGCCCATTATTTTAAGAATATTCAAATATAAGCACTTAGGGAAGATGAGAATTTATAAGAAGAGTGAGGATTGTTTGCCTGATTGCAAACTTCAAAAAATTTGCTTCTTGAAAGGTTATAGTTAAGAGGTCACCCAGAGAGTCCATCAGGATGCAAAGGAAATGTATTGGGAATTTCGTAAACCATCCACTTCCAAGAAAACTTCACAGGAATATTTGTGAGATGTCTAGGTAAGGACTAAACAAGGGCATCACTCTAACAAGCGTGCAACAGCATGATCTCTGAAGGTCGAACAGGGCTCTTAACCTACATATTTGCTTTTCTTGAGACAGCAGCTCCTCTATCCCAAGAGCTATAATTAGATCTAACTGCTTTCTCCATAGGTGGCTCAGACACTCTACATCTTTTACCTCTGAAAAACCTAGATGATGTCAGAATGAAGATGTATTTGTCTTACCCCCTGTAGATATGCATGCACTTCACAAATCCCCTGTAGTCTGGCCACAATTTGGAGTCCTTCAAAGGTTGGGAGGAATGTTTAGGGTGTAGAGATGTTAGACAAAGGGCTGGTACTTGGAAGACACTCTAAAAACAAACTTGCTGTAGTTTCTGAAGAATTATTCAAGCCTGTAAGACCTCGAAGCCTCATGTTTAGGGACCCAGGAGAAGACCCTAATACTTACCTTTGATACCCAATTTTCAGTCACACACCGAACAATACGAAATTGAAGGAAGTAAACAGAAACTAGCAGAACTCACTGGCATCTCAGCTTCAACCTCTCATTACAAAAAGTGCTTTTTAGATTAAAAAGAAAAGTCACTTTTATGGTAAGATTGTTTTGAACAGCACAAGCTGTGCCTAGTGTTTCCTCGGGGCGCCCATGAACTTGGCTGTGATCCTATCAGCCAAAAAACTAGCAGAGCCCCCAGGGGAAGGGGAGGCGCTGTGGCCCCCCTGGGGTCCGCCTCCGGAACACCCTCTCCCCGTGCTTTTAAACACGGCCAAGTTCTGACTTGGAGCAGCCATAAAACTCTCCTGGTAGCATTTTAAAGGCTTTTAAAAGAATGCCCCCTCATAATGTGTTCTATTACAGCGGTGATTGTTATTGTTGTTATTTCCCGCTTTGTAGCAAGAGTGAAATCTCCCTCGGGGTATCTTGAGAATGGATTGAGAAACTCTGACGATAGATCACAGTAGCCCACTTCATTTTCTGCTGTAAAGGCAAGTTCCGCCTGGCATCTAGTGTACTGGTTGGCAAGGTCCTCCTCTGAAGAAGTGATTGTTCTAAGACCCCGGAGGCAGAGCGCGGGAAATGGAACAGAGTTTGCTGTGAAATAACACTATGGAAAATAAATTCTATTTAAAAACTAATGTGATCCTTTCCCAATTGTCTTGTAGATTCATTGACTGGAATGTAGAATTCTGTTCCCCAAATGAATCAACAGTGCCTTGAATAGAGAAAGACAGACTTTTCCCAGGGTAAATCCCTGACAGAGTGTTATGTTCACGGCACAGACAGACATCTGTCTTCCCAACTCTGTTAGGACCACATTAGATCTGAGACAGCATCCACCTTTTCTCCAGCATTCCCCCAAGGCTTAAATCCGGCCGCATGGCTCCTCTTCGTCTTCAGCCCATGAGTCCCAAACTCAGTGAGCTTTTCTGAACGCATAGCATAGATTAAATGACTACATCCTTTTGCTCTCGTCTCCGTTGTGGAACCCCAGAGTCTGAAATCTTGGGAAGCTCTGTGTCATTTACTGAGTGTGATGCGATGCCAAGACCAGGGCTGCTGTACACTGAATATTGTGTAAGATGGATTAAGGCCTCTTTCATCCTGAAGGAAAAAAGGGAAGTTTGCCAGCTACAAGGAGGTTGGCAAAGAGAACAGGGACTCTTTCAGAAATAAATCTGATTTTGAAAAATAGCATCTCAGGAAGAAAGCCTTTTAAAAAGCTAGGAAGTAAGATAACATTCTCAGAATACTGTAAAATAAGAACTGATTTTCATAGGATTTGAATGAATAAATCATCTCATTGCTTTAGTCACACAAGGGAGACGGCAGAATAATAGAAGTTGGGAGCTGGAGAGCTGATACGAGACCTGTTCTGACCCCATGAGTCTAAGTGAGAGGCCTCAGACCCCAGCTGCTCCTCGAATGCGTGTACTTTCAAATATATACTGATTACTAAATGTATGGGGCTTCTTTTGGTTTCTATTCTTACTACATTTTATTTTAAGCTTCTTAGCAATAAATAATAATAAGTGCTTTGAAAACATTAAAAAAATTACAGATAATTGGAAGCTGTCATTTTCATTAGCCCTATATTCTCTGAAGAGTTCTGCAGTTTCTTTAACAAAACTCTCAAGAGGGAAGTTTACATTTATTGAATGCATTCTCTCAACCAACACTATTTTTTAAAACTTTTAAATTGTCTTACAGTTGTGTTGACTTCTTTCCTTTTGATGTACACTTGAATGTTAACACCTGTAGAAATTACTGTGGCTACCGGCATAACCAGGATTCAAAACTCTTCCCTCACTGCAAATCCCTGCAGCTGTGGCTGTGTCGTCATCTCCCAGCACCACCTGACCTGGCCTCCATCCCTCCAGTCTGTCTGTCTGAGAATGCTGGATGAATGGAACCATGCAGTAGGTAACCTTTAAGGCGCTCCCTTTATTCAGGGCAATGCCTTTGAGATGCTGTGCGCCCGTTGTTCATCCCTCTCTGTTGCTCAGTGGTGACTGTTGTGTGGCTGGCACCACAGTGTATTTGAGCATTTACTCAATAAGGGACATCTGGGCTCTCGTTTTTGGCAGTTGCGATTGGAGCTGCTGTGTACATTCATATACAGTGTTTGTGTGATCATCGGTCTCCATTTCTCTCTGTTTTCAAAATTGAGTTGTTTTGTCCATTCTTCATTCTTAAAACTTTTCTTCGGTGACCCTCAGATACCCCACATCTCTGCGTCTCTGACTTCGTGGTTACTTTGTTGGGTTCTTCGTCTTTTTACCTTGGAATATATCTTTTTTATTTCCGTAGTTCTCTTATTTCTTTTAATTTTATTTTCTTGCCGATCATATATCCAAGTACAGTTTTTATGGAAATAAACTTGAAGTTTAGGTTCTTATGTTTAAATTACATTTAAATTAGTAAGGATGTAAATTTTTGTCTGCCCAAAG